>NC_000002.12:156580527-156883557 GCF_000001405.40 Homo sapiens | reverse complement strand
GATATATATTCTATATACACAGTATAATATAGTATACATACAGTAATATAGTATATAACATATGTATTATATATTCAGTAATATAATATTATATATACAACTATATAAATTATCCAGGGAAAAAAGGTCCTGGATAATTGGATGCAATTCTTCTATGATGGCTAATTTTATGTGTCAACTTGAGTGAGCTAAGGGATGGTCAAATAACTGGTAAACATTTCTGGGTATATCTGTGAAGGTGTTCCCGGAAGAGCGTAGCATTTGAATTGGTAGACTGAGTAAGGAGGATCTGCCCTCACCAGTGTAGTCGGCTATTGTCCAATCTGTTGAAGGCCTGAATAGACAAAGAAAACAGAGGAAGAGTGAATTTGTTCTGTCTTCATTAGCTGGGAATCCATCTTCTCCTGCCCTCAGACATTGGCACTCCTAGTTCACAGGCTTTCCGACCCAAGACTTACCATCAGTCCCCCATCCCACTCATATTCTCAGACCTTCTGACTTGGACTGAATCACATCACCAGCTTTCCTGGGCCTCCAGCTTGCAGTTGTGGGATTTCCCATCCTCCATATCCACGTGAGGAAATTCCCATAATAAATCTCTTCATATATTCTTATTTGTTCTGTTTCTCTGGAGAATCCAGACTAATACATCTTCTTCTTCAGCCTCTTCTGCCACTTCTTGCGTCCTATACATCTTGTATGCTAGCAACCCTGGTCTCCTTCTTTCCCAAATAAGCCGACGAGTGACACACATTCATGTCTTCACTTGTGTTCCTTCCTCTGCTGAAATCCTCTTCTTGGCCACCCTGCTGAATTCCTATTGAGCTTTCTAAATCCAACTCATATGTCACCTCCTCTCTGAAGCCTTGCTCAACCCTCATCCAGATGTAGATTTAATCTCCCACACTTACCACATTATATCATAATTATTTGATTGCATTTTAACTGGATTATTAGAAACACAGTATTGTGCATTCTCAGAAATGCAATGAAGGAAGAAAAAATGAAGAGCATAATTACAGGGTTGCTTTCTTCACTTAAAAAAAGACAACTTACATTTGCATAGCATTTTCATCATGTCCATAGATGTTTTATTTAATCCCACTGAAAGCTTGTGGATTAGGCAAGGAAAGTATTATTCCTTTCATCAATATTAGTTATTTTAATTGTTCTCTTCACAAATAAATGATAAGTATGTGAGGCAATGCTTATATTAATTAGCTTGATTTAGCCATTCCACAGTGTGTACATATTTCAAAATATCATGTTGTACACCATAAATACATCCAATTTTTATTTGTCAATTAAAAATAAATTGATAAAGTTTTCTTTAAAATCAATTAATGATTCTCCACCACACTTTTCAAAAGTACCACTTAAATTTTTTTTTTTAATAAATTGAATTATGAGAACACCTGGACACAGGGAGGGGAATATCACACACCAGAGCTTGTCAGGAGGTTGGGGGTTAGAGGAGGGATAGCATTAGGAAAAATACCTAATGTAGATGATGGGCTGATGGGTGCAGCAAACCACCATGGCACATGTATACCTATGTAACAAACCTGCACGTTCTACACATGTATCCCAGAACTTGAAGTATAATTTATAAAAAATAGGAAAAACAAACAAAAATAAATTGAATTATGTATATTTAAGATATACAACATATTATGGGATACATATAGATAGTGAAAGGTTACTATATAGTGAAGCAAATCAACATCTCCATTATTCACAGTTACCCTTTTTTTTTTCATTTTTGTAGCAAGATTAGCTAAAATCTGCTTATTTAGCAGGAATCTCAACCACAGTAAAGTTCTATTGTCTTCATGCACATTAGATCTCTGGAATTGTTCTCCCTATGTATCTGCTACTTTTTATCTTCTGACCTAGTCTTGCCATTTCCTTCCCACCTACACACATCGCCTACCCCTACACCTGGTAATCACCATGTATTCTCTATTGCCTTTTTAAAAGAAAAAAAAAAAAGACAGGGTATTGCTCTGTTGCCCAGGCTGGAGTGCAGTGGCACAATCATAGCTTACTGTGACCTCAAACGCCTGAGCTCAAGTGATCCCTCCACCTTGGCCTCCTAAAGTGATTATAGGTGTGAGCCACTGCACCATGCCTATTCTCTATTTTTGTATATTTAAATTTATTTTGAAGAATCCACATATAAATGAGATCATATTGTATTTTTCTTTCTGTGTCTGTTTTATTTTACTTAGCATAATGTCCTGCAGCCTCATCCACGTTGTGACAAATAGCAAGATCTCATTCTTTTTTGAGGCTGCATAATATTCCATTGTATACCACAGTTTCTTTATCCATCCAACTGTCAACAGACGCTCAGATTGTTACCATATTTTGGATACTATTAATAATGCTGCAATGAACTTGAGAATGCCATCATCAGTATGAGATGGTGATTTAATTTCCTTTGAGCATATGCCCAGATGAGGTATTTTGGGGTCATATAGTAGTTCTATTGTTAATTTCTTTAGAAACCTCCATACAGTTTTCCAATGGCTGTACCAGTCTATATTCTAACCAACAGTTCACAAGACTTTTCTTTTCTCCACACCCTTGCAAACACATTAAAATGATAATGTACATGTAAATGATATTAAAAATATCATTTAAAAAATACCTTTATTAATAGGCTTGCTGTATTTACTTTCCCATTTAGTTTACACAATGCAAAATCTAAGTGCTTGCTAGAAATTATACTTTGAATACAGTTTACAAAGGACTTCTTAAATTGAAAAAAATTTGAGCAGGCATAGTTGCTCATGCCTGTAATCCCAGCACTTTGTGAGGCCAAGAGTTTGAAACCAGCCTGGTCAATTTAGTTAGAGCTTATCTTTAAAAATAAAAATAAATAAATAAGTAAATTAAAATTACAATAATGAGGTTGAATATCTTTTCTAAAATAATTTAAAATTTTTGTTTAGCCCACATGCTACATCTCTTCTGCTTGTGCCAACCAGTCTACTCTCAACCGTGACCCACCCTGCTCTTCGGAGGCAAAACTGTCCTGTGTTGACATTAGCAAGGAGAACCCTTACCCTTTGGCTTAGGCATATAGGAAGCATAAGTAGATGATCAAAGGGGTGGATGAGAGTGAGGTAATGTAGGGTTGTCAGGGGAAACTGCATCCCTCATCTGAAGGTCAAGGATCTCCTTCAAGGCAGCCCTCAGCCCAGAGCCCCCTCCATAACTGCCTTTACTTCTCACATCGTCAGGCATTGGGTAGCATTTAAAGTGTCGTTACTAGTTACTAGCTATTACTAGTAAGGTATACAAGTTACTGTGCTGGGGCACTATATTATCTCTTGTGGTTCCCTTAAACCCTAGAAATGCCTTTCTAAAAAGTCCCTTTATTAGACTGTCTTTAGTGAGTCTGCCATTTGCTACCTCCTGAAACCCCTACTCATAGATTACCAAATTTATATTGGTTTAAATCAATGGATTTTCAGATAGAAGTACGTGTGATTTAAATATAACATACACATTTGCTAATCCTGAATTTTCTAAATTGTAATGGTTCTTGGTAAAAACTGGCATTAAATAATCACTGGATAGTTTTATGGAATACATTTTTAGATGATTAATAACATAATTATCCTATTTATGCTTATTAAGGCCCAACCTTGTTTTAGTGGGCATAAGCCTTCAGATATATTACTTCTCATAAGTTTTACAATATTTGAGGTTTTATATTTTAACTGCTGAATCAGTCTTAACAAATTTCAAAAGATTAAATAAAGGATATCAATTGATACTAAAAATATTTATTGCTATTTCACAATTTCTTACCTTAGACATGCTGTTCCATTCTCAGGAAATATTAATATTATACTGAAAAAAGTATTAATTCATCCTTTCACTGTATTTTTTATTTTTTTAGACAGAGTTTCGCTCTTGTTGCCGAGGCTGGAGTGCAATGGCGTGATCTTGGCTCACTGAACTGCAACTTCCACCTCCCAGGTTCAAGCAATTCTCCTGCCTCAGCCTCCTGAGTAGCTGGGATTACAGGCACCTGCCACCACTCGTGGCTAATTTTTGTATTTTTAGTAGAGACGGGGTTTCACCAAGTTGGCCAGGCTGTCTTGAACTATTGACCTCAGGCGATCTTCCCGCCTCAGCCTCTCAAAGTGCTGGGATTACCTCTCACTGCATTCTTAAATAAATCTTTATTGGAGCAGGTACTATGCTATAAATAAGAAAATTCAGGTATCAACAAAAGTAGATCCAGTCCCTGACAAGCTAGATTATAGATTATGGTGTAAAGGTTATATATTTAAGGATTATCAGAACAATTTCTTGACATAGAAATGTTATGTATTATTTACGTGCTTTAAATGAAGGCATATCAGAACGATAATCAAAAACCTATAAAGGTTAAATAATTGACTTCACAAATAGTTTCTTCAGCCTGTAGTACCCCATTTTACATTTAGATAGCAGGAACTTACTTAAATAACTGAGTCAATTTATGAGGCACCTAAGCAAAGTTAACAATTATGATTAAAACTTATAACTGACTGGTTAAGAGCATTGGCTTTGGAATCAAAGTATCTTAGTTTAAACCTAGACTCTAGCTCTGTGATCATAACAAAATAGTCAACATCTCAAACCTGTTCTCTCATTTATGAGATAGGAATACTAATATTTCTTCCCTTAGGATGCTTAGAGTATTGTATGAGTTGATGCATGTATAGCCTGGGGACTAAGTGTAAAAGAAATACCTTGTTATGTTATTATTATTATCAAGACTAAGAAAAGACTTTACATGTAACCTCACTAATAACCAAAAATATCCACACGCTAAACAAATGTATTAATCAAAAAGATCCATTTTTTATTTAGACAGGGTCTCGCTCTGTTTCTCAGGCTGGTGTGGCACTATTGTAGCTCAGGCAGCCTTGAACTCCTGGCCTCAAGCAGTCCTCCTGCTTTAACCTTTCCAGTAGCTGGGATTACAGCTGTGAGCCAACAAGATTGATTCTAATATAATTCAGCTTTGTTTGAATAGCAAAAAGAGAAAACATAAAAATATTAAATATATGACCTTTATGTATTTATGCATATACAATAGATATTGTAAGAGCCTATTAAGGGTGTAGAAACAAAGATTGATGATATAAGCAATATTTAATTATGAACAGATGAAGCCATCTCAATCATCCCTCCCATTAATCAACTCTCCATTGCTCACCATTCTTTCAGTGAAAACTAGTGACTTTTCCCTACAACATGCTGAATATTTGTGTTAATAGGTTACCAGTGGGGATGAACCCAAAAATTTAGTTGAATGCCTACAAAGAATAAGTGATGTTTGCTCTCAGATGTGCTTATTTCCAGTGCATATTGTAATTATTTCATATGTTAAGCTAATGAAATGAATATAGAAAAACAGAGAACTGTCTCTGTTAACACTGAAAATGATGGAAAGATTTAATCAGAGTTCTTTTTTAAAAAAAATGTGATGTCAGCTTATATATGAGTGAAAAAATAGTTTGAAAAATCATAAAAATCTAGAAGAATCTGAATGCAAGTTGATTCACAAGTTCTCACTCCAACTTCAAGAAATCAACCTGAAAATCAATCTCATAATCGTTTGCCCTATGGATATAATTTTTATAAGGAAGATATATCCAATAGAATGCCTATATTAAATGTACAAACTGCACTGACAATTGGCAAAAAACAAATTAGATTTTTAAGTTAAAAATCAATGTTTAATATTTATAAGTTAGCTTTTTAAAATTTCCTCTCTTTAACTCATCTTTTCAACCTCTCAAACACCACTCTCAATTTCACTGGAACAGAAAACATTCACCATATTATTTATTTGGTCTGTATTATGTACTACTTTATTTAACTGTGCCATTATGTATACTTTATTTAACTGTGCCATTTTTCTACTGAATCTACTTCTTTCTTTTCCTGGGCACACAGCTGAACTCTATTTTCCAGCTTCCTTTACACTTTGGAATGGACCTGAGTCTAGATCTTGCCTAGGCTTTAAAGAGCAGGGATGTCTACCTGGGCTCTTTTCCCCACCAGCAGCTAGATGCAGATGACAATGAAGCCCTAGAGAACAGCGGAGTCGCAAAATTATGTCATTTAAATGACCACAAGAAGGAAAGCTACTAGCTAACTAGAAATACATTTATTTGTTTTATTTATTTATTCAGCGAATATTTATTGAGAACCCACTATATGTCAGATGCTTTTCAAAGAGCCAGAAAAATATTAATGAACAAAGTAAGTCCTTATACTCAGGAAGCCAACTCAGCAGGTCTCTACGGGCTATAGTATCATAAACTCCAGGCCCCCTTAAAGTGCCCCTGAGCAATTTCTAAGAGTTTCTAAAGCAATGCTTTTCAAATATCTGTAGCCATAATTACCAGTCATCAGTGTATTATAAATCATGACCCAGTATACCCATGTGGAAGTTTGCAAAAGCAATACTGTAGTTAGCTTGAAACATATTATGTGTACGGGCATTTTCTATTCTAGTCCAGTCCATTCTAACCTATTCTATTTTATTTTTTGGTGGTGTTACCCAGGAAACTGATTTTACTCCCCACTAATGGACAGCATATTATAGTTTGAAAAGTACTGTCCAAGAGGTCTGTTTCTCATGGATCTGGGCTCTGGCTTTCTTCTCATGTCCCACACTGCTCCCTTACTGAGATGCCCTTCCCTCTTGAAAACCCCTCTCTGTCATGCACAAACTTCTGCTCCAGGTGGTTGTCTCAATGCCACTCCAATCCTGAAAAAGATACAATTTCCCCTTAGCTACTCTTTCTGAATGTGGACAAGTGTTTCTTTCTTTGTATTTTTTTTTTTTTTGAGACAAGGTCTTTCTCTGTCATCCAGGCTTGAGTGCAGTGGTGTGATCACAGCTCCTGGGCCCAAGTGATCCTCCCCACTCAGCCTCCTGACTAGTTAGAACTACAGACACACACCACCATCATAATTTTTCACAGCATGATACACACCAGAGACTCACTTTTGTCAAAATTTTACTGAAGGCTTGTGGATAAAAAACAAAATACAACTATCAGAAACGGCAGTTCTACTGAAAGGAGAAGGAAGAAGGAAACAGAAAGAAGCAGAGAAAGAGAGGGAGAAAGGGAGGAAGGGAGAGAGGTGGGAAGAAAGGAAAGGAAGTGTCCTCTCATAACACATATGCCCAAATTTGACATCAAAACAACTGAGTCAGGTCCCTATAGCTTCCACATTTCAGGACCTAGCCTTCTTCTCATCTCTGGGAATATGCATTGTCTTATATCTGCATATTTAAAGGACCACTAATATGACTCCCAGAATAAAAGAGACTTCTTACTCAAAGGTGGAGATAGATGATAACTTTCTGAAAAGCTGATTTTTCAGCTTTGAAATCTTCTAGGTTCAACATCCGTGGACATATGTATATGAATATATGTAATGGCTGTTCCTTGTATATACAAATTATTTTAAAATCTTCCCTAAAAGAAGCTACTGTTTTCTGCCTCCTCTTTTTTGAGACCATAAAGAGGAGTATGCATGTGTTTTTCTACCCCTGACATTTTTACACTATTGTCAAACAGTCCTTTGCAACAACCTCCTCTCTGTTTATATATACTCTCTACAGCCTCAGTACTATCTGTTTTGACATATAGAGTCTTCTATCCTCTGTGAAGATTTAGAACTTTATTTATTATTCCTATGTATGGTTGATTGTATGATAATTGGTCAACAAATGTTTTCTTCTCCTTTCCTCACCCAGCCTCCAAAGGAGTATACTTCTCTAATTGACGTTGAGTTTGATCATATGGGATGATGTACAAATGGGATGTTACAAGACGTGACATGATCAGAGACCCGAATAACTGTATGATCAGAGACTTGCATGACTGCGTTTGCCCTCTGGAATTCCTATATTTTTCCTCTGGTAGTGACTAGCTATATCTGACAAAGCAATACAAAACAGAGATAAACTCAGAAAATAATTGGCTGGTTTACAAGAAGAATTTAAAGAGAATATAGAGAATCCATAGATTTCAGTGTTGAAAACTGGAGTGGTTTCTCACTACATAAAATGTATAACCTTTATGGACAGCCTCAGAATTCAGGTACTGGTAGTAAAACATAGTCTCAGTGCAAAGAACAAATCAAGGGTTTGGCTATCAACACCCTTTGGTAACACCTATGAATTCAGATATTAACAAACTTCATGTTTTCTAAGTCTGGTAGTTGCTTTCACCTGTATACAAGGTTTCCCAGAAAGCTTAAGGAACAGTCCCACGTAAATTTGATGCACTACAATACCATTTTTAAGACTAGAGAAAGAGATATGTCTCCCAAAGAATTGTGAGTGTGGCTTTTAGCATTTGAATTGACTTGAACCGAACATAAGGAAAATCAATGAGGTTTTTGAGAGAACTCTTGGCAACCACATTACCAGCATGGACTGGACAAAAAGAGTTTGAATCTGTTTGAGAGGGTCAAAAACACCTCTGGGCACCCAATTTTCTACATTCTGAAAGTGAATGAGTACGTTGCTCAGTGGCTAAGAAAGGCATATCCTTCAAAGCCTTCTTCTGAAATCGCAAAGGAGGATGACCTTACAGCAAGAGTGGATTCAGCAGCTACTGCATATAATGAAATGCATAGGTGCTCCCCAGGGGATCTGGGACCTAATCAAGGCATAGCCTCTATCCTGGGGGGTGGGGGTGGGGGTGGGGGGCTGGCAATGTTAGAGACCAATAGGATTTAAAATTGTGAAGGACTACTGACTGCTACATGCGAACCAATGAGACTCTCACTATTTATCTCATTCTGCTTTATTGTTCTTCATAGTACTCATCATTATTTCAGGGCAAGTAATTTGCTTTTTGTTTGCATCATTCCCCAATTTCAGTAAAAGTGCCTTGATAGCAGGGACTTTGCATTTCGTTTTAGTTTTCTTTTTGGCCATTCTATTCTTGGCATATGAACAATGTCTATCATATAGGTTGTGCTCATAAAGCATTTGCTATGGAGTGAATGGAACGACTATTTTTCTTGCTGAAGTATCAATAGTCCCTTAGTAGTTCTCTCAGTGAAGGCCAATGAGTGGCAAATGCTGTCTTTATAAATCTGCAAGTGTGCATTTTGTGCTCACATTTAAAAGTTTAGCTGGATGGTTTGGAGATATTATTCTATCTTCTGGCATATCTTTTTGCTAGTAAAACTGTGCTGCTGATCTATTTGTCTACTGTAAGTGTTCTCCTTTTTCTTGATATGTTTAAGTATTTCTGTTTATAATGTCTTACAGTTTCAGACAATGTGTCTGGGCATTTTTAAAAATCTGTGTTTATTTTTTGAATTTAGAGCTTAAGGTTTTCTTTAATTATGGAAAATTCTCAGTCATTATCTTTTTGCTTCTTGTTTATCATTCTCTCTATTGTCATTCTGCTACAATGTTGCCTTTTTTGTCATATTTTTAAACCTTATCTCTTGAAGTGGTGTTCTGAATAATTTTCCCATCCATCTTTCAACTTAGTAATCCTCTTTTTGGCAGTAATCTTTTTTTCATTGATTATTTACATGATTTCTACTTTGTTCTTTTTCATATGCACTCTTTCATTATTCCTAGCTGCTAACTTCTCTTTCATAATTTTCTATTTTAATGATATTCCTATCCATATTTCTTTAACTTTTTTAAACATATTTATTTTTCAATATTTTCAATGTGCTCTATTTTCTGTTTTCCCTTTGTTTGAGTGTTATCTTTCTTGGTGTTCTATTTTATTTTGTCTCTTGAAATTTTACTTTGGAAGCTCTTCTTGAGTGAGATTTTATTTTTCTCACTCAATTTCCACTCTTCCTTACATAGTATTTAGGATCTCAGAATCTTCAATTTCGACTACTGGTCTCTTTGGACTCTAGTTCTAGAGAATGTCCGGGAGGGCAGGACAGTCACAGGCCAGCCTGGGCAGCTATTGATACTTCTCAGCCAGAAAGCAACCATACTTGCTATAATCTCCTGCCTCAGATGGAGTAATTTCCATTAGATTGCACCAGTTGAATTCCCAGACTCTTCTTTCTTACTTGGGGAGACAAGCTACTTCAGCAATTACTGATTATATTTGACAGTTTCTGGTTCACAGAAATGGTCCTTTTGTTCTTACATCTGATTGTTTTCTCTTATGAAATATTTTACCTATCATTGTTTGATGTTTGGCAGGGTGTGCATGCATGTGGTGTGTTTCGAGTATGTTTTTTAAAAAAATTATACTTTAAGTTCTGGGATACATGTGCAGAACGTGCAGGTTTGTTACACAGGTATACATGGGCCATGGTGGTTTGCTGCACCCATCGACCCATCACCTACATTAGGTATTTCTCCTAATGCTATCCCTCCCCTATCCCCCCACCCCCCGACAGGCCCCAGTGTGTGATGTTCCCCTCCCTGTGTCCACGTGTTCTCATTGTTCAACTCCCACTTATAAGTGAGAACATGCAGTGTTTGGTTTTCTGTTCCTGTGTTAGTTTGCTGAGAATGATGGTTTCCAGTTTCATCCATGTCCCTGCAAAGGACATGAACTCATTCTTTTTTATGGCTGCATAGTATTCCATGGTATATATGTGCCACATTTTCTTTATCCAGTCTATCATCGATAGGCACGTGGCTTGTGAGTTCATACATTAAAAATACATGAGCTAGCAAGAGACAGAATGTGTATTTTTAATGTATGAACTCACATGCCACCTCCATTGAAGGTCTCCTTATATGCATTCTTATACTCAAGCCAAACCATGGCCATCTTTATTTCCATTTCCCTTATGCTTTTCCTATTTTTCCTATTTCAGTGTCCCTGCTCTTCGCTTTGCCACATGAGCCTTCCCTGTTTAATCATTCTGTTCAAACCTTATTAATTTTTTCATACTTGGCTTTTAAGCCACTTCTTGAAGAAAACATTCTTTGTTCTCATCATCCATAAGTAATAGTTCTAACACTGGCATCATGTGGCATATTATCTCTCCCTTTCTTTGAAAACTCTCAATATTCTTTCCAGAAATCTTTAGGGGCCTGTCTCAATACCTATGCTTGATTCCGCAGCTAACAGAGGAATAATCAAATAATCATTTGATGTCTTCTAATTATACCTAATTTATGCACATGATTTATTTTTCCCATTGAAGTATAAGCTCCTTGAAGCCAAGAACTCTATAGTACTCATCCTTTCTTCCCTGGCCTCTTGTGCCAGATTGATACTCGCTGCACTGGTACAGATTGAATAAAGTCATAAATTTACGAATAAATTAGATGATATATTCTCCACTCCACTGGATTGTTATTACTTACAGCACTTGACCATATTTTATACTTTTTGGGTTCTCAGGGTCTAGAAAAGTGTCTGTTACGTAGCTGTGTACAAGTAACTGTGGAGGAGGATAATGGTGCTGTTTTGATTGTTATTTTAGTCAACTAAGGTCTTTAGAAACTAATTGCAGTGTAAAAACACATTTTAAAGTTATCTTATTCTACGTATTCTATATTAAAAATTATGAATTAAAAAGTGTATTTTCTAGGAGTTCCTCTCATTTCTAAACTTGAACAACTTTTCTCCTTTCCTTCTTTTTATAATATAATATTTATTTTGTAAGAACTCCATCAGGATTTTAATCAATATTTCTTTTCCCTGTTGTGCTAAATTGTTTCTTATTTCATCTTTACCTTTATATAAAGCTCTCCAAAAAATTATTTGAAGATTCTATTACTATTTTCCTTCTTCTAATTAGATTTTCCCAATTCTGATGATGCAAATTCATGTCTTTCTTCTAAATTTTCGTATTTCTTACTTTAATGTTTTTATGTAGTTTTCCTCTCATTACTCTGACCATGGGATTAAATGGAAAGATGATTGTTGGTTTTAAACAATATTGGTTTAAACCCTATATAAATAGAACTTTCAGTAAGAATCAGATTCCTTTTAAGACTCCTCAGTATACTTTATTACTCTTGGTATTTTTTTAGAAAAACTATTTTATATTTTAGTGGTCTTGATTTCTTCATACTATCTGCAGAGCTAAAAAGTCACAAAAATAAGGCAACATGAAGAATTCCCAGAAATGTTCAGGTTTTAAAACTACTGATTAAGTTTTGTTCAGAGGACAGGGGTATTAGAGGGTAAGGGGAATACTCAAGTAAGATAATTGAATATAGTTATCTTAATCTTTATAACACACTGCTTCCAACCTCATTGCCTTTTCTTCTTGCAGCTTCTCTGACACCAAAGCACTTACCATTTGTTCAGTCAAAATTTAATAAAAGGAGAAAACTGCTACGTTATTTTCCCAAATGTTTACTGTGTGCATTTTTCATTTGCCAATGTTTTGATTGGCAGCTTTATATGACCCTGGGTTTTAATTTTATATGAAATTTGGTAGGAATTGTAGTTTAGAAATCATAATCAAAAATGACTGCAGCTTCCCTGTAAGAATTTTTCTAAGGAAGCATTTTTTTTTCCAAGTTGAATTTAATAGTTCTGAGACACAAGTGCAGCATTAAAAGGCTTTTGCTTTGTAGAAATAAATAAGAATTCCAAATGCATTTAAAAATTATCTTAGTGGAAATAATTTAGTGCATATTTGTTCCATTTTTATAAGTTTCCTAAATCTCCTGAATGGCCTGCTCTTTTGGTGTATTTTTCCTTTTGGGATCTATTGAGTATCTTTTGATTAGACAGAGTATAGAGCCATGGGGGCAATGTTCATAAAATAAATAAGTTACTTTCATCATTGACCCTTGGTTATTATCATAAGAACCTTCTGTTCCGTGTTGTCTCAACCTGCCTACCCCAAGTGTTGTCCATCACTTGACAATTTGTTGCAAATCTCAGGCTCCACCACAGACCTACTGAATAAGAATATTCAGTTTAACAGAAACATCAGATAATTCATGTGCCTTTCAAATTTTGAGAAACATGACTCTAACAATTCTATTACATATTTTAGGACCATTTCCACATTCTTTTATCAGCTGATTTTAAATGATTCTCATGTCCCCAACTTAGTTCCCCATGCCATGAAGTTCATGTCCTTCATTATTCCAACATAAAAGAAGGAGCTACCATTAGAGTCGTGAGGGAGAGGATCCTGATTTTCTACTTAATGTACAGGTATCACTTTTTGCAGCACTGCTTCCTTATTTGGATGGAAAATTTCCCAAAATATATCACATATTTCATAATCTCTGAAACTACTGTATACTGAACATAATTTAACCTTTTCTTGATAAGTACTGGTCATTATTATAAGCTTCAATAATAACACTGCTGGAAACAAAAATGAACTTAAAAGTTAGTGCGTTATTCATGCTTTAATAAATCCTGTATGAGTTTCCACACACTACTATGTTGTTTTAATTCATTTTTTTGTAAATTTAACTAATTTCTTTCTCCTTCCTTCATAATAATGTCGCTTTCTCATTAAGCTTCCCCACTCTCAGCGGATTCCTTCTTCCCATTCTTGTTACTTCTGCTCTAGTATAATTCTGCTACTCACAGCCCTTTGCTTTATCAAGGCAGATTACTCTTGCTTGTTTCTCTGTGTTTACTTTTTGCTTTTGGCTAGTATATTTTCCTTCCTTGTTTTTGCCTTTTCCTTTCTTGCTACATATTATCCCATCTGACAACTTCAGTCTTTTAAATTGCAATATTTAGTAAATTTACAGTCAGAAAATAATGATACATTTAGGTTTGTATTTACTATTCATCTGTTTCCATTAAATTGCCTTTTATGCTACTTATATTTCTTTTCTTGTCTTTTTTCTTCATTACTCTATTTCCCCTCCATAATTTAACATTACTTTAATGGATACCCTAGAAGATACACCCTTGATTTATTGTATATTGATTTATTATTAAAATTAATAATTTTACCACATTACCAAGAGTGGTAAAATTTTTAAATGTCTTAATTCAATTTACTTTTCTCAATTTTTATGTTATTATTGTCATGCATTTTAGCTCTACATATATATAAAGTTCTCCAACATTACTATTATTGTTCTGTATATTCACTGCCAATCAAAATCCACTTATATTTAACCATATACTTACCCTTTTGGTTGCTCTCCATTGCTTTGTGCAATTTTATATTTGTGTTGGATACTTCTAGGTTGATAGCTATTTTCTTTCAGCATTTTATGTAATTTTATTGTCTTTATTTCCACCATTTCTGTTGAAGAGTCAGCTGTCCCTTTAACTGCCACTTCATTGAAAGTAACATGTCTTTTCTTCTCTGATTGCTTTTAATATTTTCTCTTTGTCTTCAGTATCTAGCTATCTTTCTCTGTGTGTCTAGGTGTGTTTTTCCTTATGCTCAACCTGCTTGGGTTTGTAGAATTTTTTGAATCTGATACACTTTAAATTTTGAAAAATCTTAACGTTATTTCTTCAAATATTGCTTCCACCCCATTCTTTTTTTCTACTCTTTCTGAGATTTCAATAACATATGTAAGACATTTTCATTTTGTCCTGCATGTCAAGGGATTGGTCCGGGATGGATTAGAGTAGTCTGCAGCAGATTTGTGCTGCTACAAAGAACAATTAGGATAATTTGATACAATTCAGAGAACATTGGGTTAAGAGCATTGATGATCTGATGTGGCAATGAAATTGAAAGAGTTAATGTGAGAAAACGGTACTTCAGATAAATGAGATGACATCTACAGCTACTTTTACCCAGTATTTTCAGGTTCTTGACTAAGAGTCTTGAGTTAAAATTTTCCACAGGGCCAGGCATGAGGGCTCATATCTGTAATCCCAGCACTCTGGGAAGCCAAGATGGGAGGAGTTAGAGACTAACCTGAACAACATAGCAAGACCCCATCTCTGCAAAAAAAAAAAAAAAAAAAAAAAAAAAAAATCTTAAGCCAGACCTGGTAGTGCACCTATAGTCCCAGCTACTCAGGAGGCTGAGGCAGGAGGGTCACATGAGCCCAGGAGTTCCAGGCTGCAGTAAGCTATGATCGTACCACTGAACTCCAGCCTGAGTGACAGAGAAAGACCCTGCTTCTTAAAAAATTAAATATATAAATAAATACAGTGTTTTCACCTTTCACACGTTTTACAGGTTGCCAAATCAAAGAACAGAAAAGTTAATTTTTTTAGAAGCATGATCATATTTCAAATCTTGTTTTCTTATCTCCTGTAATATATAATGGTAGAAATAACACTGGCTTTAAACTTAAATAAATTTGCATTTGAATACTGGCTCCACTGTTAACAAGTTTATGACCCAGAGTACATTAAATAATCTCTCTGAAAATGTTTATACATATTCAAAGTGGGAACAATAATAATGTTAAACATTTTGTATTGTGGTGATAATTAGCATCAACTGAAATAAATGTGCTTGGCACAAAGTAGGTGTTCAAAACAACAATGCTTCTTAGAGAAGAATGCCCATATTATAATTGTTAATCTTTATATGATTGATGAATTAGTGTTAGGTGCTTTAAAAATAATACAGTTTTTTGTGCTAAATCATAAACCTCTGAATAAAATCCTATAGTCATGAACTAAAAACCAGAGTGATATATTCCATTCTCTACATGACATGTATCCTTAGACATGGGTGTGATTTTGTAGGAGTGCAAGTTTTCATACCTGTTCCCTCATTTCATCTTACCAGATCATCGTGGCTTCATGCTACCTTATGTAGAAGACCCAAAGACAAAGAACCTTATTGTAAGAAGGAAAATTTTGTTTCCATAGGCTCATGCATGTTATACATTGGCTATAACATATAATGTTGGGGATACGTATGTGGTTTAATAATTATTAATCACATACTATGTGCCAAGCACTAGTCCAGATATTCAACAGGTATTGATATCTTGAATCCTTGTAACAATGCTATTAGGTATGTACTATTGTTGTTCTTATTTTGTAGATGAGGAAACTAGGCAGATATTGTAAATAATTTCTCCAATATTTCACAACTGGGAAATGGTAGAGCCAAAATAAAACCCTCGCGGTCTAGTTATTAATCTCTATGTAGAATGCCTCTCACAATTACTATTTTCATTAGGAATATTATCTTAGAGTTTGGAATCCTGGCCAGTTAAAATCATTACTCATTAAGGGCAGGGAAAGGAATGTGTGTAAGTTTAGTTGGAACAAAACTCAACAAGAAACTCATTGTCTTGTTATGCATACTGAATTCACTGAAAATTCTTTAGGGAAATTCATGCTATTCTTTAAGAGCTATATTGCAACTAATCTTAATGTCAGACTTATACATTTATCCCAAATGTACATGAAAATATCCATTGAAGAATTTTTCTAAATGTTCATAGAATATCAACTTCATATTTGGTAGTCTTCTATTTCTATTATGAAATGTTTGCCTGAATCTCTTTTTTCAGTGGCAAATTTTAAAAAATGTGTTACTATTATAAAACTGTTGCTCCTTGAAACTGCAATTCTAATTCACTCACTTATTCACACTAAATTATCATATTGGTAAGGAAACTTCCCTTTGCATTTCTGCTATGTCCATTGTTTTCAGTTGAAAAATCTCACATTCATACTGTGAAATGGGTTAATAGTGTACTTATGCTTTAAGAAATGTGTCAAAATAACAATTCTGTGAAATAAGACCCTAGCCATACAAAATAGGAAATATGAAATTATCAATGAGAACTCTGAATGTGTAAGACAGTCTATTTATTCATTATGCATTTCCAACCCTGTAAATGTTTACCTTAACTTCCAGTGAAAGAATGCTCAGAGCCCAGGTAAAGCCAACTTGAAGTCAAGACTCGCTCACAAGTTTGTGAGATTTCCTAGAATACAGAGGTTCAAAACACAATTGCCACTTATCTGAAGGCTTTTCCAAAACCTTAGCAGTTAGATGTGTTACATGTGCACAATCAGATTTTTTTGAGAATTTGTACAAATGGAATCCATGGGCCATTTCTCTATATCTCCACATTATATTTATAGCATTCTATGTTAACTAAACGTGTTCTTTTCACAAATTCTCTCTTCTGTCACTTGCACATTTGGGCAGCAGCCATTACCGTAAGCTGGTTTCAGGAAACTCAAATATGTGAAACGTAAAGGATAAAAAATCTGGCCACTTTTTCCGGGCTCAGGTTTTAAGCGTGTGAACTTAATCCTTGTGTTCTCTGGGTTCTCCTCCTTCTGCCAGTCACAATTTCTAATTAGCTTTCCCAATGGAGGAGGAAGATGAATTATATTTTAATATCTAGAGACTAAAATTAGTTTATATTTTAGCAAGTTAGCACTTCTTAGCAGTTGATTTACTCTTGAAGCTGCAAAATCTGTGAGCTTGCAATTAATCATACGTTGGTCATTTTCTTTCAAAAATGTTCAGTTTGGCTGTCTGTATCATAATAGGGAAAACATGTAATTTATGCAGTTTAGAAATTATAGCCTTGTGTTTAACTATGTCATAATATATTTTCTCACCCGCTCATTGTTCTTAACACTGTAAAAGAATGTCATTTCACTGGGATTTATTTAAGCAAAACCTTTAAAGTGAGAACTCTGGCAAAACAGTAACCTCTTGGAGTTGTGCTTTATTTTTCTTTAAATGGATGCTTTCAGGACTTGTTTTGACCACTCTTGATTTTGAGGCAACTTTTAAAAATAATTTTTTAAACAGAGGATCATATTCTTGGCTTTCTTTTTGCAATAGGAGTTCTTTATCTTCTTAAAATGGTCTTTAATATTCTCATGTGCATAACACATGTAAAAGTATTCTGTTAATATGCACAGAATACACAAAGCAACTCCCCAGTGGCAGTGTGATAATTTAAAGACACTATAAATTCAAAGGAATAGATATCTTTTAATTCACTGAATATTTAAAAAACCAGGCACTTAGTTGAAAATCAAAAACAGTACATATTTTAAGCAGTTTCCCCAACTAACCTCTGCCAGAAAATTAACCCAAAAACTGTTTGACATCCTTGAATAGTATATCAATGTTGCCAGCATACTGATCGCTCACTGTGATCTGAAACAAATCAATTAGCTTGCCAATTGTGTTCATTAGAATTCATTCATATCTCTATAAAAAGTTAATTAAAAGTAAGAGTGAGAAAGAAATCATGCCTAACATTCTTATTAAAACCAAATCACCAAAGTAATTTCAAATCTAAATCAACAATCATTACTAAAATTCTCCCTCCAAAAGGTACAATATACCTGAAGAAATAAGTGACAACCTATAAATCTTTGATAAAGATTTCCAAATTAAGATGCCTATTCTATTATTGTTGTTATTATTCTGTTTTATTTTAAAATTAATATTTTATTTTATTGCTAATTGTCTTTGACTATGAAAGATGTCTCTTTTTTGGCTAAATGCCTGAATTTTGCTAGCACAGGTGAATGCTAAAACTAGCACTGTACCTCGTTTTTCAAGTAACTCAGCTTAATATAGCATCTTAAAATGAATGGCAACACAGAATAACCAGAGGAACATAGCATTCTAAGCCAAAAGAAATTATCTTGATATAAGGACCATAGCATATAGAAACCAGCTGCCAAAACAGAAACCAGGCGACAAGCCGCAGCTTTCTAATTCCGAAAAGAGACTCTACTCCTAACGTAATATCTAAATGCCTCTGGTAGAGCTGTTAAAAGCAAAAAGTGTTTGAATGTGAAATGTTCTGATTATAACACGAAGCACTCTCCCAGCCTCTCTATTTCCTCCATATTGGGTAAGGTATCCATTTCTTTTGTTCCAGAGTCCAAAATGAGAGCCCATGTGAGGGTAGAAGAATCTTCCTGACAAGCCACGGAAAGCTTTAGACTAATTTCATATTCAGTTCTTGGCACTGAGGTCTGGGTGGAGGTGGGCAGGTCCACCCTGCCTTTCAGTCTCATTAATCATTTGGCTTTCCCTGGCTGCTCGCAGCATCTTCTGGAGGAACCCTTCTCTTTATTCATTCAGACAACCCTTTGGATTAAACAGAGCCAGCTAAATGTCAAAGCAAATCTGAGTCTTGATGCAGATAATCATTTCAATAATATTTCTCCATTTGTGCCCAAACACCAGGGGAATAAAGCTTTTCTGCTGTCAGGTACTGTAAGACTACAGTTGGTGTAAATGCTTGACACTGAGCCAGATGGCTTAGCCGTGCCTCAAACATATGTTCAACAAGCAGGCTTGCACACATTGGAATTTTATTATTTTGAACTGGTGAGGCTTGCATATTTATTTACTTGACCCCCTTTGGTGTCACTTTGGTATTAAAACAATCAGTTATAAAGCTTCTCCAAGCAATAGGGTAGGGCTAGTTTATAAACTACTTGTCAGTTTCATATCACCACCTGCAGTGAAGTATTCCTCATCTTGTGGTCTCCTCTTGATAATTTAAAGAAAAAAGATGGTAAGGTCCATGTGGCTGAAAGAAGAAGAAAATGGGAATTGAAGGAGAGAATGCTGGTTTACCCCAAAGATAAAGATGAATGTGCCCTTTTTTAACCAACTCTTTACATGACCTGGGGACAAGTAATTTTCTCACGTATTGCCATGTATTTAATATATATTCACTCAGAAAATCTTGTCTGGGCTTCAAGGAAATCAGCCATTAAAATATACAACTGCATGTACCTTCCAAGATATCAGCTGTAAATCAATCTCTCTCTATATATGTGTACACATATATACACACAAATACAGGTATATAGGTATACACATATCTATGTGCATATGTGTATATACATGCTTATACATAATCTATGTATGTATACACACGCATTCACACCCACTATCATATATATGTGTATGTTTATGTGTGTGTTAAAAATAAAAACTCATGGCATTGGACTTGTCAGGGAAGAGTTTGCAATCATTACAAATATTCATCATGCTGCTAGTATGTTCATCAAAATAAAACTTAAGTTGTTTTATATTTAGTGGAAAATATATTACAGAAAAATTAATTTCATATTATTTCATAGGTTTTAATTCAGTGTTTAAAAAAAAAGACCAGAAAACAGGCATCGAAAGCTATGAGCACAGCAAATGTAATATGAAGGTTTCAGTGTATAGATTCTATCCTATGGAAATAAATTTCTGCCTATAATGACATGGTGTCTAAAAAATTTTAGAGTTCATCAAGTCCAACACTCTCATTTAGTAGAAGAAAAATTCAGGCCCAGGGACATTTACTGACTCACCCCAAATCACCCAGCAAGTAAGTGTGCATGAGAACAAAAACCCAAGACACACTACCCTACATTTTTCTGTGTTATGTACATTTGCCCTTCTACCAAAGTAAACATTTGCTGAACAATTGGCTATATTACAAGTGACCTGCTGGGAGACATAAATCTACCTGATATAGAATGCTCCTAGGACAGTGGTTCTCAACACTATCAGACCCAACATACTCCATATTATAATAAATATGCTGTAATGCCCCATTATTACCCTAAACTAAAATTCACAGGTAATTGAACTTACCTACACAAATAATTTTTAAATGTCAATTCAATACCCTAAGACATCAATTATAATACAAAAAATAAATGAGAAGAAAGTAATTTATGGAATGTGTGTGTGTTTGTATGTATGTGTGTGTATGCATGTGTGGGTTTGTATGTATGTGTGTGCATGTATTTCAATATGTTAAACACTTGGAAACAATTACTAGATAATATAGTGACCTCATTAGATATTTGCTCCTTTAAGAAAAACTGCCATTAATACACAGCTATAAAACACAGAGTATTTACTCATCACTGGATGTTACTGATGATTGACAGGATTTTCCAAAATGGTGAGCTAAAGCTTATCAAATTATATGCACTGAATTTTTTTATTATTTTGATTAGTCTTATAGATGTTTTCTGTCTTCATAGAAAATTTTGCACATATTAAAATGATGCCAATGTACTTTGTTTTAATATATAATTGAGATAAATCCTAGACTTAGATTTTCAGTAAGATTTTCTACTTCCAAAATGTCTACCTGGAAGAATATTTAAAGGTCATGCAGTATTCAGGACAGTTCTTCCTTGTAAGGACTGCCTATGCAGTGCAAGATATCTAAAATCCTGCCTTCTGTCTAGTAAATTCCATTAGATCTTCTCAATAACTGCAACGACCAACAGTGTCCCCATTATTTTCAGAATGACCCAGAGTAGAATCCTTATCATAGAATATTGCATGTGGGCTCTCTTTAGCATAAGAATCAAGACAACCAATATCAAAACCATAAAAAAGTTATGTATAAACAGTATACAATTTAAAATGAATTATTAATTTTAAACATTATATTTCCTTGAATTTATAGTCTTTGTACATTTTCACAGAAAAATTTAATTTTAAAATGCTAAGCTTTAGATTGTGTCTTTGCAAACAGATAACACAATTTCAAAATCAGAAATCCTAAACTAACATTAATATAAAATATAGCTTAATTTAAAATGTAACTCATATTTAATATTGGTTTAATTTTATTTTATAATAACCAAATTCTTAAAAATAACATTAATTTTTTTGCAAAGGCAACATGTTATTTTTATGTAGATATGGATATTAAATAAACACTATTTACTCATAATATTGAGTTTATATGAGGTTTTTGTGTCAGTCTAGGGAAACAGTACAAGTATCTTTGGAAATGAAAGATAATACCTACACAATTGCATCTTTATATTGGCCTATGATTTAGTTAAATCAGATTCAATAATTCTAGACTTTCTGAATTCTTAATTGACCAGGAGGCTGAGAATTCCTCTTATATGTGATCAATTTCTATTATGGGCTTATGGATGAATTTTATTAATTCACCTCTGTATCAGCAACCTGTCTCACAATTCTTTAGAGACTATCTCACTATGTATGTAGTTCTGACACATCACAAACTATAATATATATTATTTGTCCATTTTATTTTTTGGATTGTTTAACTGTCAGTTGCAATATCCTTCCATAAAAGAACATAAAGTCATCATCTGGCTCTTATTCTCACAAACAGTTATATATTTACTGTGTGTGAAAGATCTCTACCATGTTCAGGAGACAAATAGGCACAGTTAAAGAAAAATAGTCCATTTCTATGTCATGATGATTCTGTACTGAAATGTATAGTATAGCTTTTTCCTTTGAAAAATCACTTCAAGTCATTTGGCCAGGCGGGGACTGCAAAACACAATGGAAAATTACAAAATACAAGAGCATTCATAGTACAGTATTTTGCTAAGGCTCCAGCAAACCATTTTCTAACCAAACTAACAATAAAATCACTGTGATTTGGAATAGGAACAAGTTGTAGAAACATCTTTTACTTCCTACTGTACTGCAGAATAGATTATGCTTTTTTTTAAAGAGTTGAGGTCTCTCTCCATCTCCTAGCCTAGAGTGCAGGGGTGCGGTCATAGCTCCCTGCTGCCTCAAACTCCTGGGCTCAAGCGATGATGCCCCCACCTAAGCCTCCTGAGTTGCTGGGATTACATGTGTGAGTCACCATGCCAGGCTCTAGATTACTATTTTTCTGAGGTTCTTCTCGTAATAATATGCCCAATCCTACAAATGAAACTTGTTTCTCCCAATCAAAATTGCAGGCTTCACACAAGAAATACCCACTTGCAGTAGGAGAAAGATGGGGTTAAATTTAAAAGAGGCTTTGTTGCTGGGGCAGCAGTAGTTTAGTAAGAGTTGCATTAATAAGCATGTCTAATTCATTCTCTACCTAGTAGGTAGGTAAGTAGAAGAGGATGATTTTGAAATGTGGAAATCAAAAATGACAGAGAGAAGCCTCTAGTCTATTGTTTCGTAAACACAGTCCTCTCCTTTTCACTCACAACCAAGTTGTCAGGATGAATACCCAAATCCAAAGTGCTGAGAGGAGAGATCAGAAAAATCACTGGAATGTGAGTACGTATGTAAACACAAACAGCTGATACCAGGTGATGCAGTCCTCGCTCTGATGTTAGAAGAATCCATGGGGATGGTATTTTATACAACCACATGATCAGAAAGAACATATAGATGAGATTTCAGAGGACTTGGAGCTGGGGCAGACCCTTTAGTGCAGTGCTTCTCATTTATGTATGTGCTATTTATTCAAAGATCTGGCTAAAAATACGGATTCTGGTTCAGCAAGTCTGTGGTGTGGCTGAGATTCTGCTTTTCTAACAAGCTCCCAGGTAATCTTGATGCTGCTGATCTGTGGACCATACTATATGTAGCAAAGCTTTAGAAAGCCTCAGAAACCTTAACACCTTTCCTTAGGATTGGGAAACTGATGGAAAAAATGCAACATTGTGAAGTACATGCAAAGAGAAACTCATGAAGGGAATGATGGTGAGCACAAAGAAACAGAGACCTTGTAAGGTTAACATCATACATCAAGAACAAAGTGCAACAGGTAAATAAAAGTCACCATCCTCCTGCCTAAACAGAAAAATAAAAACCATCAAGCAGTTTGATGCAGTGCATAAATGTGCAAATGCGGTGACACAGGGCAAGATGAAAGATGGCAGCAGCAGAATAGCAGTTAAGACAGAATGCCTTTGTCATATACTTTCTAAACCTCGCCTAAAAAATTTCACAGAAAAGTAGACAATACTATTACAAAAGTAGGTAAGTAATTTGTGGATGATGAGTATGAAACAAAGGCAAATATATACACACACATATATATGAAAACATATAAACAAAGGCAAATATATACATATATAGTATATACATATATGTATGTGCCTTTGGTTCACACTCATCATCCACATATAGACATATACATGTATATATGTATATGTGTATATACATATGTGTATACATATACATATATACAAATACATATATGCATATATGTTTATACATATGTATGCATACACACATATGTATATAAAATGTATAGACATATATAAGAACATATCATCGCCATATAAATATATGCATATATTGTTATATATACACATATATAGTTTATATGCAACAACATATGTGTATATATACACACACATATGTATTAAAATGTGTATATGCATATACATAAAAACTAAGTTTCTACTGTAGGCTCTAATGGCTAAAAGATTTTATCTATCTCTAGAGAGGAATCATTGCCAGGTAAATGAAAATTCACCCCATGATACCATATATAATAGATTAGTTTTATAGATGCCTAAGATAATGCCCTATAATAGTCCTGCTGCATTTAAATACTTTATCTTCAAATGGTAATGTTCAAAGTTCTAAGTTTAAGGAACCTTTCAATCAATGTTAGAAGAAAATATCTGAACAAGCAATATGAGACCTCACTAGACAATTTTAAAAATTGCATTTGCTGCTATAAACATAAGTGTGCATGTGTCTTTATAGCAGCATTTCATAGGTGGGAATTGAACAATGAGAACACTTGGACACAGGAAGGGGAACATCACACACCGGGGCCTGTTGTGGGGTAGGGGGAGCGGGGAGGGAAAGCATTAGGAGATATACCTAATGTAAATGACGAGTTAATGGGTGCAGCACACCAACATGGCACGTATACATATGTAACAAACCTGCACTTTGTGCACATGTACCCTAGAACTTAAAGTATAATAAAAGTATATATATATTTAAAAAATTGCATTTGCCTACTCACCAGTCATATCAAGGTTTTTGAGGGAACCGTTTTCAAATGAAGTTTATTGGCTACTCAGACTATAGAAAAATGCATCACTTCTGACCAAAATTTTCCACTAATCACGATTTGAAAGGATGTCATACCAAATAATATACGGCTTAAGTAGGACTGAGACCTTAGGCATAATTAGGCACTACAAAATTTTATCATAGTTTTTACTCTAAAGGAAAGTAATGGGCTGGGTGTGGTGGCTCACGCCTGTAATTCCAGCACTTTGGGAGGCCAAAGCGGGCGGATCACCTGGGGTCAGGAGTTTGGGACCAGCCTGGCCAACATGGCGAAACCCCACCCCTACTAAAAATATGAAAATTAGCCAGGCATGGTGGCATGTGCCTGTAATCCCAGCTACTTGTGAGGCTGAGGTGGGAGAATCTCTTGAACCTGGGAGGCGGAGGTTGCAGTAAGCTGAGATCGTGCCACTGCACTCCAGTCTGAGCAACAGAGTGAGACTCTGTCTCAAAAAAAAAAAAGTAATGAATTTTGAAAGCCCCTGAAATCTGAGTTTGAGTTCATCTGTTACATAATTAGGATATGGTTTTAAAACAACAACATTAGTAATTAGTTTAAATGCTAGGTCCATATCTCGTTAACCACTTATATGTAGAAAATATTTCTGAATGAGGCAATAACATGCACAATGATATATAAATAAATATTTTTTATGCTAAAACAACACCAATTTTGCATTGGTTAGTTCTTATTAACATTTTAATACAGGAGGGCATCCCTTATGTTCTTTGGTGAATACAATTCATTCGTTTACAAAATATTTGGCTGTGATCTGAAAAAATTATAAATGAGTAATTGGGTAAGAGTCTAATTTGTGATGGATAAAACTACATTATTTAACATTTATAAACAAAAAGTCTTGTAATATACATTTTTAAGATAACCTTAAATTTTACTCAATAAATCACTTACAGCTTGAGAAAATCTAGCACATATACTTTGACTCACCTACATAAAGCTCAGGAAAAACTAAAATAAGTGGGGGGGGAAGGGCATGTTTTTAAAAAGAACAGGGAGCAAAGAGTTCTTTCTGAGATTGAAATAAACTGTCCTCCCAAAATGTGCAAAGCCATTCTTTCTCAATTACTCTCATTGACTCTAGGAAAAATTATGAAACTACTTATGTTAACAGCTAGATAATCCTCTCAATTTAGCTCTTATTTCTTTATTGATGTTTGGAAACTTTATTGATGTTTGCAACCCATACTGGCTTTCTTTTTTTTTTTTTTTTGAGACAGACTCTCACTCTCTCGCCCAGGCTGGAGCGCAGTGGCGGGATCTCGGCTCACTGCAACCTCTGCCTCCTGGGTTCAAGCGGTTCTGCTGTCTCAGCCTCCTGAGTAGCTGGAATTACAGCCTCGCACTACCACGCCCAGCTAATTTTTGTATTTTTAGTAGGGATGGGGTTTCGCCATGCTGGCCAGGCTGGTCACCAATTCCTGACCTCAAGTGATCCACCCACCTAGGCCTCCCAAAGTGCTGGGATTACAGGCGTGGGCCACCACGCCTGGCCCTGGCTTGCTTTATTGGTTTTGTAATGGTATGAAACAACAGTTGCAACCTAAGGTATTAAACAGTAACTAACTGTAGCCTTTCAAGGTCTGTGTTTGTTTGTTTTTAGTACATACGGTTTGGCTCTGTGTCCCTACCCAAATCTCATCTTGTAGTTCCCATAATTCTCACCTGTGGGGACCTGGTGGGAGATAATTGAATCATGGGGGCAGGTCTTTCCCGTGCTGTTCTCATGAGAGTGTATGGGTCTCATGAGTTCTGATGGTTTTAGAAACCTGAGTTTCTCTGCACAAGGTCTCTATTTGCCTGCTGCCATTCATGTAAAATGTGACTTGCTCCTCCTCGCCTTCCATCATGATTGTGAGGCCTCCTCAGCCATGTGGAACTGTAAGTCCAATAAACCTCTTTCTTTTGTAAATTGTCCAGTCTTGGGTATGTCTTTATCAGCAGCATGAAAATGGACTAATACGGTAAATTGGTACCAGTAGAGTGGGGTGCTGCTGAAAAGATACCCAAAAATGTGGAGGCAACTTTGGAACTGGGTAACAGGTAGAGGTTGAAACAGTTTGGAATGCTCAGAAGAAGACAGGAAAATGTGGGAAAGTTGGGAACTTGCCAAATACTTGCTGAATGGCTTTGCCCAAAATGCTGATAGTGATATGGACAATGAAATCCAGTCAGAGGTGGTCTCAGATGGAGATGAGGAACTTGTTCGGAACTGGAGCAAAGGTGACTCTTGTTATGTTTTAGCAAAGGGACTGGTGGCATTTTGCCCCCGCCCTAGAGATTTGTGGAACTTTGAACTTGAGAGAGATGATTTAGGGTCATCTAGGGACCTCCATCTAGGGAGGGACCCAGAGGAGATGATTGAATTGTCGGAGCAGGTCTTTCCTAGGCTGCTCTCGTGATAGCAAATGGTTCTCACGAGATCTGATGGTTTTAGAAATGGGAGTTTCTCTACACAAGCTCTCTCTTTGCCTGCTGACATCCATGTAAGATGTGAATGTGACTTGCTCCTCCTTGCCTTCTGGCATGATTGTGAGGCCTCCCCAGCCATGTGGAACTGTATGTCCAATAAACCTCTTTCTTTTGTAAATTGCCCCGTCTTGGATATGTCTTTATCAGCAGCATGAAAATACAGTAGACAAGTTATTTTACTGATACGAATATCATGATCATATAAAAGCAAGCACTCATGGCTTTAGGAAAAACAATTAAAAACCTTCAGCCCATGAAAATATTGCTACCCTGTGTAAATGTTATAGGGGTAAAAAAAAGCCTATGGACCAACTCCTGTAACTCAGGTTTGATCCAGCTCTCAACGGCATTCCACAAGCAGTATATTTACACAGCCAGAATCTTTTAGAGTACGTTTTGGGTTGCTGGATTGTTCAAGACTACTCTGAAACATCTTCCCCAAAAGTAGTACATGTGTAACTACAGCAAATACATCTCAAATCATTATACCTCAATTGTTTCTAACATTCAGTCCTTTATTTAGACATTACCAAAGCTTTAGATTCTAAGATGCTGACTTGAAACTCTATGAGTACGATCAAGGAGATGACAGGACAAGAGATATGGGGAGAAATGGGTGTGCCTTTTGGGAAGAGATCCTAAGGGAGGGGCTCATGTGTATTAGGGATGCTGTCCTTTGTTTCTGATACATTTTTTGGGGTACTTGCATTTTTCTGTGAATTTAAATATAACTTTTTCTCTGCTGGGGAAGTAGCTATGATTTGCAGTTAAAATAAGAAGTAACATTAAAAGGAAATTCACAGTCTTGATAAACTTGTTTATCTTTCTATTATCTGATTTTACTGGTGGTATTTCATTTGGGTAATACATAACTTTCTAAAATAATTTGTTTCCATTTTACCTAAAAGGAGTATATTAATAAGGAATCTTTCCTCAAGAAAATTTTTAAACTTTTTTTCCATTGAAAAATAACTAGGCAGTAAAATTCCAAATCAATAGTATACTCTTACCATAGAATTATAAATGTGAATATAATCGTGTGCTCATTTAAAATATATGTAAATGAAAGTAATATTTTAGAGTTTCTCTCTCAAGAGAATGCCAGCTTCTAATTAAGATTACAGATGAGTAGGCTCTGCCATCACCACCTCTCCCAATAGACCACTGCATGTTCTGTTATTGTTCCCTCTTCCTTGCTCCCCTTACCAATTCATGTACCTTATTCTATCAATGCTTCTTTCTCAGTGTATCTGGAATCCACCCATTCTCCTTCATTCTCACTCCATAGCCTACTTGATGTTCTTTGAACACCCTCAATCTAGACTACTGCAATAGTTTCCTAATGAGTTCTCAATGGTTTACCCCCTTCCAAAGTTCTTTAGAGTTGATTTCATTTTATGATTCCCACTGAGTAATCCTATCTTGAGGATAAACCTGATAGCTCTTATCCTGGCATTAAGGGACTAACACAGTCTAGATCCAAAACACCCTTCCAATTTATCTTCTAGTATTTGTTTTCTTTGCTCTTGCCATATTCAGTATATCTGAAATATAACATACGCATTCACACCTTCATAATTTAGTTCATGGATGTGTGTGTGTGTGTAGGTGTGGAGAATTTCCTCCCCCAATCATTTGTGATCCTTTGAAATCAGGAAAGATTAACTCATTTTCCAGTTCATCCATGTCTTATTCATCTCCCCTATATACTGTGCTATCTCTTTTTTGTAAAGTCCCATTACAAGGCTATTTGTAAATTATTTACTATCTGGGATTATCACTCACTATTTTCCACTGAAAGTTTTTCTTTAGCCAACAAAATTAAAAGTTTGAAGTCACGGGTGGTGTACCTTATTTACCTGCCTAGGACTTAACTTTGTTATGCATATAGTAGCTACTCAATAAACATATGTTTTAATCATGAGGCAAAACGGCAGAGCAAAAGCCTTTGATACAACTGTATCAAATTTTCAAGAGATGTTTGCTATAAAACTGACTACACTGAGCAGATATCTTCATATTCGATTATATTTTTAAATATGCCATAAAACATATGTTAAAGTGAATGGCACTTTGGTAATATGCTTAAATGTCCACTGAATTATATACTTTTAAAATTTAGATGTTCATATTTCATCATTGGTAATATACCTATTATTTACTTGGCAAGAGTAAACTAATTGGGAGAAAAGTTTTCTGTAAGCCAAATAAAACTAATACCAAATTTACAGTATAAATATTAAAAATAAGAAACTGTCGTAATTACAAGTAAAAGAGAATACTTAAATCAGACCATATCAGTAGAAGCTAAGTAATAAAATAACATTTATGAATTTAGCACTGTTTCACTTACAGTGTTTTTCAAAAATATTTCAAGGTATGTGCTCTGTGTTTCAATAGGGAGCTTCATGTTCTTCATAGAAAATAACTATATTAACAAATATAACATGGCTCCTGTAAGTATTACTTTGTTCCCAAGCACTTACTATTTGCTTGCCATTTGGTCCTTGCTATTGTTATTGTTCTTACTATTTTCTTTTACTTTTTAACTTTTCTTTTAGGTTTAGGGGTACATGTGCAGGTTTGTTATATAAGTAAATTCATGTCACAGGCATTTGTTGCACAGATTATTTCATCACCCAGGTTTTAGGCCTAGTACCCAATAGGTATTTTTTCTGCTCCTCCCCCTCTTCCTACCCTTCACCCTCAAGTAGGCGTCACTGCCTGTTGTTCCCCTCTTTGTGTTCTTGAGTTCTCATCATTTAGCTCCCACTTATTAGTGAGAATATGCTGTATTTGGTTTTCTATTCTTGCAAAAGTTTGCTAAGGATAATAGCCTCCAGCTCCATCCATGTTCCTGCAAAAGTCATGATCTTGTTCGTTTTTATGGCTGCATGGTATTTCTTACTGTATATGTCACATTTTCTTTATCCAGTCTGTCATTGATGGGCATTTAGGTTGATTCCATGTCTTTGCTATTATGAGTAGTGCTATTTTCAATCTTTATTATTTTACTTAGAAGTTTTTGCAATTCATAAAACAGTTCATTATATAAAGCTAGTTATAACTCTATTATCTAATTAATATATACTATAAGACATCATCTATCCAGAAATGAAGGATTTTTACTCTGTTTTATTCCTGCTCTCTTATTTCAGAAAGATATATATGTTATCTTTAACGATCAAATCACAGTTAATGTCTAGAGAAAAGTTACTCCCATAGTAACTAACTGGATTTCCAGATGATTTTACTGTTAAGACTTATCTACTTCTAGCTTAAATAGACATTCCATCTTGAATTTAAGGGTAAATATGGAAGTGCTGACTGCTGGGAGGTGCACAATATGAGATATTAAACTCATCTGACAATGGTTGCAAATGATTTCCATGAACAGGTTGCAGCATGAAGTGGTGATGTTCTGACTAGAAATCAAAGGATCTAGGTGCAGCTCTTCCCTCCCATTCTAGAGGACCTTGGGCAGCTTTGAGACAGGATGTTATGTATGAAATGGCAACTGAGTACCAGGATATGAAAAATATGAAATTCCAGAAGCAGGGCCTCACCTTATGAGCAATTGTCAAGAGCTGTTTCAGGTCTCTTGAAATTCCTCACCCACTCTGAAAATAAGAAAGCATTGAGAGTGGATTTCAAGAGGGTAATTCTTTAGCAGGAGATGCTACCAAGCTCTGGGTCTCATTGGGAGTGGGCTGAGTTGTCTGCCTCTCACTTTTTATCTAGGGGGAAAAAAAAGGCTTCACTAGGAGCGTTCAGAGATTTTAATGGGGTCTTCAGCAGCTTGGGGCCCAGTAGGAGGCTGCTATCTGACATATATTGAGAAATCTTAAGGTAAGCAGCTGTGTTAAAGCCCTGAGGTTGTGAATTGGAGAAAAATGGAGGCCATTTGGGGTAGAAAATGCCTCCTACCCATTACGACCGCAGAATGTATGAGTGCTTCTCACTCATTGAGCCAAGAAGGATTAAGAACTGACCTGAGCCACTTCAAATTCTGTCTGGCATGCCACTTAGAACTTAATATGGAGAGGCTCATGGAAAGACCAGAGCCTAGAGAAATGGCTGCTGAGGCTACAACTAAAAGGCCTAGCATAGGGAGACCCCGAAGAACCCACAGAACTTCTCAGGCAGGAAAATCGTCTATGAATAGGACCAAGAATCAAAGAGTGTGAAACAATCTTACATAATACTAATATACTTTCTGTGCCTTCTTTTACTTTCTCCCTCTCTGCATACTGTCTTTGGAAGAGCCAGAAACTGCTTTGCAAATGGAGGGTGAAGAAGCAGAAAATGAAAGAAGATACCAAGTGTGCCCAATCTGCAGGTGTCAACATCTATCTAAAATCATCTCCAATTAAAAGATTCGAAAAGATTTAATTCTCAGTCAACTTAGGAACTCGGTGTTCTAATGCCAAACTGAGGCTGTTTTGTGAGTTAAAGGAAGCATAGAGCTTATCATTGACTATAAAAATTATGAAGTCCCCAAAATTTTCTTCCAGTAGTAGAACAAATATATGTCCCATACTTTGAAAGGTGAGGAAAACAAAATGAATTTTGATTACATTTCCCCAGTTGTGCCAGCTCAACACACAAGTCACACTACTTAATTTGTCTAGCTCTCAGCTTCCTTATGTATAAAAGAAGTGTGGAGAAGCTGTTTTAAGAATTAAATATTTTATATCACAGAAGTCTGTCTTTTCTGGGAGGTGGGAAGGGAGGACGAGGTGCAAAATCACATTTCATGAAATTAGTTCAACCCTGATAGCAAAGCCTGATTAAAAAAGCCTTGTGCACACACACAACTGAACACCACAAATCAAAATTTTATTAATGACATAAAGATAAACATCCTAAGTAAATAACAGTAAATTGAATTCAAAAGTATATTTAAAAATAAGCCATAATAAGTTACATGTTATTATGTAATTGCAAAGATCAATCAACAAAAATTGACTTGCTAATATATCATATAAATTAGATGCTATTAAAAATTTAATAAAAGTAAACCAAGATGTCTGATTTTAAAATAAGTAAATATTCTGTAATGTAAGTGAAAAGATTTCTTTTTAGAACATTAAATACTATCTATCTAATACTGCAGACAACGTCATATGTATTGTTAAGACTCAAAAGAATTACTATGAGGCCAGGCGTGGTGGCTCACGCCTGTAATTTCAACACTTTGGGAGGCCAAGGCAGGTGGATCACCTGAGGTCAGGAGTTCAAGACCAGCCTGGCCAACATGGCAAAACCCCGTCTCTACTAAAAATACAAAACTTATCTGGGTGTGGTGGTGCACGCCTGTCATTCCAGCTATTCAGGAGATTGAGGCACTAGAATCCCTTGAACCCAGGAGGTGGAGGTTGCAGTGAGCCGAGATCATGCCACTGCACTCCAGCCTGGGTAATGAAGTGAGACTCTGTCTCAAAAAACAAAACAAAACAAACAAAAAAAAGAATTACTATAAGTCAGAGGAATAGATAAGAGTTTCTGTTATCAATTCAACATTCTATGTTGCTCTGGCAGTTCTAGGCAATGCTATAAAAAAATACAGGCACATCTCAGGGATATTGCAGGTTTGGTTCTGTACTGCTGCAATAAGTTGAGTTGCACAATTTTTTTTTGTTTTTTAGTGCATATAAAAGTTATGTTTACACTATACTATAGACTATTAAGTGTGCAACAGCTTAGCAATGTCTAAAAGAACAATGTACATTCTTTCATTAAGAATACTTTATTGCTAAAAATTGCTAACAATCATTGGAGACTTCAACTAGTCATAATCTTCTTCCTGATGAAGGAGCTTGCCCTCATGCTGATGGCTACTGACCAATCAGGGTGGTGATTGTTGAATGTTGGGGTACCTGTGGCAACATATTAAAATAAGATAATATAATAAAGTTTGCCACATCAGTTGACTCTTCCTTTCACAAAGGATTTTTCTGTAGCATGTGATGCTGTTTGACAGCATTTTTCCCACAGTAGAACTTCCTTCAAAATTGGAGTCAATCCTCTCACACTGTGCTGCTGCTTTGTGAAACAACTTTATGTAGTATTCTAGATTCTTTGTTGTCATTTCAGCAATGTTCACAGCATCTTCACTAGGAGTAGATTCTATCTAAAGAAACTGTCTTTGCTCATCCATAAGAAACAACTTCTCATCCATTCAAGATTTTATCATGACACTGCAGCAATTCAGTTACATCTTCAGGCTTCACTTGTAATTTTAGTTCTTCTGCTATTTCTACCACATCTGTAGTTACTTCCTCGAAAGAAGTCTTGAAACCCTCATCAAAGTCATCCAGGAGGATGGGAATCAACTTATTTCAAGCTCCTGTTAATGTTAATATTTGTCCCCTCCCATGTATCACAAATGTTCTTAATGGCATCTAGTATGGTAGTGAATCCTTTTCATAAGGTTTTCAATTTACTTTGCCTGTATCCATCAGAGAAATCACTATCTATGGCAGTGATAGCCTTACAAAATGTATTTCTTAAATAATAAGACTTGAAGTTCAAAATTACTTCTTGATCATGGGCTACAGAATGGATGTTGTGTTAACAGACATAAAAAACAACATTAATCTCCTTGTACAGCTTCATCAGTGCTCCTGGGTGACCAAATGCATTGTCAGTGAGCAGTAATATTTTGAAAGTTATCTTTTTTTTTTTTCCTGAGCAGTAGGTCTCAGTAGTGAGCTTAAAATATTCAGTAAATCCTTCTATAAACAGATGTGCTGTCATCCAGGCTTTGTTGTTTCATCTATAAAGCACAGGCCATGTAGATTTAGCACAATTCTTAAGGGTCTTAGGATTTTTGGAACAGTAAATGAGCATTGGCTTCAATTGAAAGTCACCAGCTACATTAGCACCTAACAAAAGAGTCAACCTGCCTTTGAAGCTTTGAAGCCAGGCATTGACTTCTCTTCTCTAGCTATAAAAGTCCTAAATGGCATCTTCTTTTAACATAAGGTTGTTTCATCTACTTGGAAAATCTGTTGTTTAGTGTAGCCACCTTCATCAATGATCTTAGCTAGATCTTGTGAGTAATCTGCTGCAGCTTCTACATGGCACTTACTGCCTCACCTTGCACATTTTTTTTTTTTTTTCTGAGACAGTCTCACACTGTTACCCAGGCTAGAGTGCAGTAGCATGGTCTTGACTCACTGCAACCTCCACCTCCCAAATTCAAGTGATTCTCCTGCTTCAGCCTCCCAAGTAGCTGGGACTACAGGCACACACCACCACACCTGGCTAAGGTTTGTAATTTTTAGTAGAGGGGGGTTTTGCCATGTTGGCTGGTCTCGAACTGCTGGTCCCAAGTGATCCACCTGCCTCAGCCTCCCAAGGTGCTGGGATTACAGGCATGAGCCACTGCCCCCAACCACCTTGTACTTTTATGTTATGGAGATGGCTTCTTTCCTTAAATCTCATGAACCAACTTCTGCTAGCTTCAAACATTTCTTTTGCATCTTCTGACTTCTCTCAGCATGCATAGAATTGAACAGAATTAGAGACTTGCTCTGGATTAGGCTTTGGCTTATGGAATGTTGAGACTGGTTTGATCTTCTTTCCAGACCACTCAAGCTTTCTTCGCATCAGCAATAAGCTGCTTTGCTTTCTTATCTTCACATTTTCACTGGAGTAGCATTGTTAATTTCCTTCATGAAATTTTTATTGCATTCACAACTTGGCTGTTTGGCACAAGAGGCCTAACTTTTGGCCCATCTTGGTTTTTGTTTGTTTGTTTTTTGAGACAGGGTCTCACTTTGTCACCCCGGCTGGAGTGCAGTGGTGCGATCTCAGCTCACTGTAACCTCCACCTCCCAGGTTCAAGAGATTCTAGTGCCTCAGCCTCCCAAGTAACTGGGATTACAGGCACACGCCACCATAACCAGCTAATTATCGTATTTTTAGTAGAGACAAGGTTTCACCATGTCGGCCAGGCTGGTCTCGAACTCCTGACCTCAAGTGATCTGCCTGCCTCGGCCTCCCAAAGTGCTGGGATTACAGGCGTGAGCCCATCTTGGTTTTTCGCATGTTTCCCTCACTAAGTTTATTATTATTATTTTTTGAGACAGAGTCTTGCTTCCTTACCCAGACTGGAGTGCAGTGGCCTAATCATAGCTCAATGCAGCCTTGCCCTCCTGGGCTCAAGCAATCCTCCTACCTCAGTCTCCCAAGTAGCTAGGACCACAAGCATGCACCACCATGCTTGGTGAATTTTCATTATTATTATTGTTATTATTTGTAGAGACAGGGTCTCCCTGTGCTTCCCAGGCAAGTCTTGAACTCCTGGGCTCAAGCAATCCATGCTTCAACCTCAAAAATTGCTGAGATTACAAATGTGAGCCACTGCACCCAGCCAGTTTAATTATTTTTAATTTTTGATTAAAAGTGAGAGGCATGCAACTCTTTCTCTTGAACACTTAGAGGCCATTGTTGGGTTATTAATTGACCTAATTTCAATATTACTGTGTCTTAGGAAATAGGGAGACCTGAGGAGAGACAGAGAAACAGGGAAATGGCCTGTTGGTGGAGCAGTCAGAACACACACATTTATCAATTAAGTTCACCATCTTATGCAAACACAGTGACACCCCAAAATAATTACAATAACATCAAAGATCACTGATCACAGATCACCATAGCAGATATAATAATAATAATAAAGCTTGAAATATTGTGAGAATTACCGAAATGTGACACAGACATGAAGTGAGCACATACTTTTGGAAAAATTGTACCTATAGACTTGCTCAATGCAGGTTTGCTACAAACCTTCAATTTGTAAAACAATGCAATATCTTCAAAGCACAATAAAGCAATGTGCAATAGAATAAGGTATGCCTGTAAATATATTGGTTGGTGCAAATGTAATAATTAGCTATAAACAGAAAAAAATTATCATTACATTCAGTTATTCTTTTTTCTTTGATATCATTATTTAAAAGGTCACCCATCCAATTATTATTAAAATCGTTGTTTACGTATCTGAAAATTGTAATGTATCAGAAATGTATTCTAGAGGTAGTTATTGATCTAAATTTCATCTAAAAAGAGCAAGAATATTCATTGAATATTCATCTTTCCCTCTCACTAATTCAAAACCTCACCTATCACATACAAAATGTTGCCTACGTATCCTTGAATCCGTTTCTGGACTCTGTGTTCTCTTTCAAATGATCTGCTTCATTTTGAGTCAGCATTGATGTATGTTAGTTATTGTAGATTTGTAACTGATAAGAAAATCCGCCCATCCCTGAGGGCACTCTTCCTATTTAACCCAATAACTATTTCGAAGTTTTGCATTTTACTAATTGTCATAGGAGATTATTTGTTCTATTTATTGTTGCTAAATTCTGCTCAAATAATGTCTACAGTCCTGTTCATATTTAGGGCACTTACTGAAGATAAGCAAATGTTCCATGGATTCTTAAAAGAATTTTCTATAGGATGCAAATTTAATCAGCATCATTATCATTCCAATTTCCCATATCCTTATTTATTTTTAAATCTCTCAGATTTTCATTTTATTTTTAATAGTGTCTGTTTTATATGTGTGTGATTTTTTTCACATCTACAGCTCAGGGGTGTAAGAAATATAACTTAATTTTTTCCTAACTGAAATTAATTTTGCTCTCAAGTCTTCACTTTCCCTGATGCTGAAAACCTGCCAATTTAGGGGAATGCAGGCTCCTCCAGGTTAAACTCAAACTCTCTGGAATAAGGAAAATTATTTCTCTCTTCTCAGTTTATTTTTTTCCCTTCTCATCTTTTTCCTGGGGCATTTGAGCTCCCAAAGACTTGCATTTTTTTTTTTTTTTTTTTTTGCTCTAGTGGGTGGCATCTGGGCTTTGCCATTCTCTGTTTTCAGGGTCCACCACTGGGCTGGCTTGTTCTTCCTATCAACACTGGCTCCCGGGCTGAAGCCAGTCTCTGACTCACATTTGCATACCTCTTGACATGTAACTTGTAAAATTTCTTCAAGCATGTGATATAAACAACTTCTCTCAAGCTCTTTGGGGAACAAGAAAACTTTGGAGATTCTGCGAAGCTTGCCTGAGGCTATTTATGTGGACTCTCATTCAGACACTGTTATTCTGCTCTGTTATCACAGTGACCCAGGATTCAAGTCTCCCAGCCACACTTCAACAATTTCAAGGTTCAGCCTAAAAGCAGGGGCAACAACTGGTCACTCTTCAGAGGCCATAGGTGCCCCAGCTATTGTCCCATTCCCTCTGAATCTTCTCTTCCCATCTAGCGTTTGAATCCTTAGTAACTCTTAGGTAGAAAAACAACTAAAAATGCATCACGTGTTTATCTCAACCAAGTGGTTTCTGAAATAAACTCTATGATCTTAGTCATCCAGCCTTTTGCACTTAGTGTGTAATGTTGTATTTTGAGTATGGCAAACAAACACCTTCTTTTTCAAAAAGCCCAGCTGTGGCAAATTTCAAGTGATGACTTTCAAGAATATTGGCTCAGCCAATGATTTACAAAAGTCTATTTAGCAGCTTTACTATTTATCATAAAGTGGCAGTTTTGTAATATATTTTAAAATATGATGTGCTCTCCTTTTCACAGCAAAACGTGTTTCTACATGGTAAAACTTGAATGTCATTTAAACTGATGTGATTAAAAACTGAACAAAATGAAAACTACAGCTCTACTGACTTCTCTGAATTGTCACTCCAGAAACTTCCTCCAAGTAATATACTCTTCTCTAAATTTACTAACTTAAATTGTTTGATTTCTACTAACTTGATACCTTTTCTAAAACAATGTAGTCTACTTAATACCTCCTCTTCTAATATAATTTTCTCAGATTAAGAGATTAACACAACTAAATAAATAGCAAAGGAAGGGCAAATGATTTTAGAAAGCACACAAAGGAAAATATCTTGGTATACTCAATATTTCCAAAATTAATCCTTTCACATATATTACATTGCTGTGTTATTACACATAAACACACACACACACACATACACACACACACACAATTATGGCCATTATATCTTTTTGTCACAGCATTCCTTTTGACAAAATAAGATCAATCTCAACCCCTTTAGTTTTTAATTTTGAAAATGTGTATTTGCTGTACTATTTCTGTTATGGCTTTCTATTTGATTCTATTTGCCCGACATATCTTTGTCTTCTTTATTTTTTAATTTGTCTCATTTTGTTTTAGATGTTTGTCTCACACATGAGTCTTTGTTTCTGGATAGGATGTTTAAGTGATTCATTTACAGTGTCATGTTCTTTATTTTTAATTTTATTTTAGTTTCACGGATACACGTGCAGGTTTGTTATATAGGTAAATTGTGTGTCCCGGGGGTTTGGCGTACACCTTATTTCATCATCCAGGTAATAAGCATAGTACCTGATGGGTAGTTTTTCAGTCCTCACCCTCCTCCCACCCTTCACCCTCAAATAAGCCCCAGTGTCTATTGTTCCTTTCTTTGTGTCTATGTGTACTCAATGTTTAGCTCCCACTTACAAATGAGAACATGTAGCATTTGGTTTTCTGTTTCTGAGTTAGTTCACTTAGGATAATGGCCTCCAGCTTCATTCATGTTGCTGCAAAGGACATGATCTTGTTCCTTTTTATGACTGTGTATTATTCCGTGCTGCATATGTACCATGTTTTCTTTATCCAGTCTACTGTTGATGAGCATTTAGGTTGATTCCATGTCTTTGCTATTGTGAATAGTGCTGCAATAAACACATGTCTGCATGTGTCTTTATGATGAACCATTTACATTCCTTTGGCTATATACCTAATAGTTAATCTCATTTGCCAATTTTCTTGTTTAGAAAATGTTTTCTTGATGTTTTCTTTGCTTTCTACCTATCGGTAAATATGTTATACTTTATTTGCCTTTCTTCTCTGGAGATCAAAATATATCAAATGTAATTACTTTGGAGAGTATCTTTATAGTTTTTAATATGCTTGTGTATATATAATTTTATCAATAATAAAACAGTGGTTTATTGATTCCTTCCTTAGTAAAATAAAGAATAAACATAATTCTAATTTCCTTCATAATTTATCTGAAAGCGTCTGTAATTTGTTGCTATTACCTAAGGTTTTAGACCCAGAATATAATTAATAAGTATTGATTTTATACAACATATCTTAGTTTTTCAGAAATGTTTCATATATATATGACTTGTAAGAACATTTGCCATGGTTATTTAAATGTGATTGGGTAATTTTTAGTCAAACTATACCATAGCTTCTTTTTCTTGAGATCTTCAATTTGATTTAATTAAATCCACGTTTGTCAAGTTGGTGTATATCTGACATCTTTCCTAAGCTTTTTAGGAAAGGAACGTAAGAGAGGTATATTTCTATTTTTCCAGGTAAAGTAGATGGCAAGTATAATTGTATGTAAAATTTTAGAATGGCACATTAGAAGCTGGAAATTCTGGATGCTGGAAGAAGCAAGGCTCTTTTGCCATGGTTTGTATGCATGAATTTTGGTGGCATTGCTTTTTCTTCTCAAGAATTTATTGATATTCCTCCCTTAACTTCTGATGATTACTAGGGCAGAGAAATCTAAGGCATTTTAAAATGATTTTTTGTGCCTTTCCTATAATCTTTTTTTTCTATCTAAATGTTTATAGAATGTTTTTTAACATTGGTATGTTGTAATTCCCCCATATGTTGTAACAAAACATTGTTATGTTATTATATTGTAATTCCCCCATATTCATGGGGGACACATTCCAAGACTCCCAGTGGATCTTGAACTGGAATGCCTGGAACCATGGATAGAACTGAACCATGTATATGGCACACTAACATTGGTTTGGTAAGAAAACAAATTTGCCAGGAGTTGTCTAAAAATTGTCTTCTCTTGAAGCCTCTTTCCCTGAACAGTCCCATTAATTTCCCGACTAAAGTCTTTTTTCACAGGAGGAGAGTTATCTTCTCTGATATTGTTTTTATTTCATTTGTTTTGTATATTGATTTTTTTTCATTTGTTTTTGTTTCTCCTTCAGGAATACCAATTATTTGATTCTATTTGATTGAACTTGACTGATATATATTTGTCTTCCTTACTTGATCTTTTTTCTATATTTTTCAACTTTTTCTATATTTTTATAGCTATCATCTCTCACAAAATTTTAATTTTTAATAAGATTCTGTGCTTTCTGAAAAAATGTTTTGTGTTATGTACAACACAAACTTTCTACTTGTGCAATATGGCTTTTGTTCTCTATTGCTTCCAAAGCAGATTTTAGCTGTGCTGGTGCTTTTTTCTGTGGTTTCTTTATAATCATTCATGTTTCTACGTTGATTTTCATGTTTGAACACATCTAACTTAGTTCCATTTGTATCTAACCTTATCATTATTATTATTTTATCTCTTATTTTAAAGAAATTTATTGTAAATAAAAATAGTTGTAAAATATTTCTTGCTGTCATATTGTAAAGTTTAAATTTTTCTCTGTATTTTGAAAATAAATTACATTTATTTTCACATTAAAGAATATTTTCAAAGTCTCATGCCGGATATATATCAATTGTACACACTCCTCAGAGTACACAATTTTCACCACTTTTCTCACACTTACCTGTTTCTCCTATAGACTTTATCGAGATACACTATATAACCTGTGCACATTTATACCCAGGAAGATTGCACTATCAGGACACTTTCATGACCATTTCAAAAGGGGTCATGAAAGGGGATGATAGGAAAGGGATGCCCCTACTCATTTTAGGAAACAGCTACAACATACTGTCTTTGCTCCCTTGGTCAGCAAAAATCTGGTATCTCTGATATAGGAGCAAGTGTTAATGGCTTATAGAAATCTTCATGTTGCTTAAATCTGCATGAGCAGAAATTTTTTATGAGATTTTGAAGATAACTGATGAAAATCCCCAGTTTGTAGTGCTGCCATCTGAAGCACTCCACCCATAATAGCAGAGATATATGTGAACATTATTAAATGGGAGACTGCAGGAAGAAAAACAACCACTACTAGTTCACTTCTATGAGAACCAATATCATCATTATATTTAAATAAAAATAAGCAATGTTTATTCTCCTTTTGGAATAATTCTATTTTGCACATTTTACTCATGCTTCCTTTCTATGCTAAAGTCATAGCAATGTATATGAAAAGATAACATTTCTATAATTAGATATATTAGTTCACTAATTTTATGCTGAAATTGACTTTTTAATGAAAAAAAAACAGGTTTTTTTGTCTTAACTCAATTATTAAAAGCCAAAAGCAATCTATTTCTAATATCTGATCTGTTAATAATGGATCTAGCAAAAACATGAGTGAAAGAGGGGAGTCTCCAATTTTTGCTTCTATATACTTTTGTATATTTTATAATTTTTGTAATGAAATTTATAATTAAGAGCTAGCATAAAATTTAAAATACTTTTTCTACTACATATAAGACACTACTTTGTACTCACTAAGCTACTGACATGGCGTTTGCTTATGTTGTAATTCCCTCATATCCATATATGGGGGACATATTCCAAGACCCCCAGTGGATCTTGAACTGGAATGCCTGAAACCATGGATAGAACTGAACCATGTATATGGCTCACTAACTATAACCATATACAAAAACATTCTGTTTCTCCTATATATACATAGTTATGATGAAGAGTTTAATTTATAAATTAGGCACAGTAAGAGATTACCAACAATAACTAATAAATTAGAACAATTATAACAATACATTGTAATAAAAATCATGTGAATGCAGTTTATCTCTCAAAATAACTTATTGTACTGTACTCACCTGTTTTCTGACCACAGTTGACTCCTGGTAACTGAAAATGCAGAAAGTGAAACCACGGGTAAGAGGGAACTACTGTACTGTATATAGATGGGCCAGCGCACATTTGAGAAAAGGAAGCTAATCATATTGCTTCTGCGAATTGCAATGTCACCTCTACCTAAAATAAGTGTTTCTTTATTGTAGAGGCAGTCATCCACAATTCTAAAACTAATAGTCATATTCTTACAAGGCTTTCTGCTTAACAAGCTAGAGCTGAATCAGACTTTTGGAATCTGTATTTTCACATATGAGAAGCATTTTAGATTTTTCAAAATAAAAATGAAGTCTTTGAGTTAGAATTTTTAACATAAATCAAGTTTTTGAGTTCGAATTTTTAACTAATAAAGGGGTCTGTGCTTTATACGGACCTATTACTATGGCCATTTATCAAAGTACGTCACATTCTTTTGTCCATTTCCTTACAAATCCTTTCCACCTACCTATGCTGCTGGAGCTGAAGTGCTGTTTTGAGAAAGATAACCCAATCCAATGTCAGCTGACTTTCCCTTTGAAAAGACCTGTCACTTTGTGTCAATTTTAGGAATTTGTGTCAATTTCTGAAGTCATTTCGTATTTGCTGTGCATTATATCATTGTGCTCATGTCTCAAGCAACTGAAGATATACCTGGAAATTTATTGGACAAGACAGTTCCCTTCCCAAGTGCAGAGACACCCAAAAGGCAAAGGTGAAAAACAGTCATGTTTTAGGAGCGGCTAAAATATATAACTAAAATAGCACAAACTTTAATGTTTAAATTGAATTTGGCATCATTTTCATTGACTTTAAAAATAATAAATTGAGCTGGAATTAACTTGCACTCAAATTCTTTATCTTCCCAGTTATTTTTGTAAACTTTGTTTTAAACTTTATATGGCTTTCAAATTACTATCTTTTAAATAGTTGAATTTTATATTTGATGATAACTCTGCTGTCTTACACACTGTAGACTCTGAATTGAGCTTTCTTTCTAAGAGTAAAGAAATCATCAACAACCTTGTCACTTTTTCTCTGGGAAAGGTGTGGTTGGGAAGTAGACTTGGTCCATGTAAAGTGTTAGCTCTATCATCTAAACAGAAACAGACATCTTATTTTGCATTTCAATTTAACCAACCGAAATCATGTTTCGCTTATGTCCCAAGGTTAGTTCTTTTCTGAAAATAAATATGCACTTAAGATTGAGGAACTCAAAAGCATCGACCAGTCTTGAAATTCTCTGTCCTTAAAATTTAAGATGTTTCTTAGCATCTACATTTGTTTTACTCTAAAGCAGAACTACTGAAAATTTAGCCTATGATACTGAGTTAGGAATATAAGGATTAATACTCAATATATGGAGAATATATGAAGGAATAGGTCTTTTATGACATTTCTTTTTATGAGTGAGAAGAGACCTAATAAATTACTTTATTAAATCTCTTCTCACAAGTGAAGATAAATGTCATCAAGGGCTTAAGGTCTCATGTATTACATATAATGTATGGTTCTTCTATCTATCTTCCTATATTTCTATATTTTGTCAAAATCACCCAATGGGCTTTCCTTCATCATAAAATGCTTTTTTTAAGACAAAAAAATAAAATAATATATTGAGAAGAAAATGTCTGACTTCATTTAGGCTGTTGCCCAACTTGGTATATCTACTCTTAGGTTACTCTGCTGTTACACTTTTCTTCCTGTCATTTCTCCTCTCCAAGGGCCAAACAGATGATGATAGCTCAAATTAACTTTTACTGTTTAGTAAAAAGGCTTTGGATCCTTTCCTAACCACCCTCTGAGTCTTTGATTCTTTGTCTGCAGTAATATCGCTTCTCCCAAAATTTGTACCTCCTCCTTTAGCACTTATATTTGGAATAAAGTCATCAACACCCAATTATATAAATTAGACACAGAAATGCCATCCTGTACTTATCTGATACCCTCAAGCCACATAACTCACTAAACTCTAAATCCTATACATTTTACATTTTCATTATCATTCCTATTTTTTCTCATTTTTAATGCCTTGGCTAAATTCTAATTTTTCCTTGAGACAGGGACTTGCTCTGTTGCCCAGGTTGTAGTACACCAGAGTGATCATGGCTCCCTGCAGCCTCAACCTCCTGGGCTCAAGTGGTCCTCCCACCTCAGCCTCCCAAGTAATTGGGACCACAGGTGTACACCACTGTGCCCGGCTATTTTTTTTAATTTTTTGTAGAGATATGGTGAGACAGGTCTCACCATAGTGCCCAGGCTCATCTTCATAATCTTTACCTAGACAATTTTCATAGTCTATTAAAGCAGTGACTTTCAAACTTTTCTTATCACCATGAAGATACATGTTTACATTACAACTCACTATAAGCATGCATCAATAAAACTGCACATATATTGGTGAAACATAAGTTCCAAAAAAAAATTCTTCTTATTAATGTGTGATGTACACTGTTATACTCTATTTGGTTCCACTATTAAAGAAATATTGATTTTAAAACCTCATTTATCGGTTACAAGTTGAAAAACACTGCAAGTTGAAGAACACTGCAAAAGAATTATACTGTCTCCAGCCATAATTCCCACTAATGAATTTTCCATACTGCCAGCACAAAGTTTTGTTTTCTACCTATCTAAACAAATAATTTCTCTCCTTAAAGCCTTTCTTTCCACTACTGGATAAAGACTAAACTCAATACCATAGCATGCAATCAGGGTTCTTCCTGTTTACACTTCCAGTCCACATACCTTCCTCCTCAAACTTACATGCTCAAGATATTCCATTTCATGTCTCTGTCTTCCACACAGTACTTCTGCTTGGGAAACTGCCTCTCTTAAATCTTCATATTTTCTATCCTTCAAGACTCCCTAACATCTCTCTCCTCCTCTGTAAAGCTTTCTCTAATCCCTCTCCAAACAAAAATAATTACTCTTCCACCACTGTATTTGTAAATACCCTTTAATGAGAGACACTCACAGAACTCACTCTCCACTGATATTCCCACCTTGTCTACATAGCCATTGGAGCAAGGCTTTACCATAAAGCCTTCATCGATTTTAAGGACAGAAGAATTTCAAGACTGTATGCAGCCCAGGATGGCTTTGAATGTGGTCCAACACAAATTCATAAACTTTTTAAAAACATTATGAGGTTTTTTTTTGCATTTTTTAGCTCATTAGCTATTGTTAGTGTTAGTGTATTTTATGTGTGGCTCAGGGAAGCCAAAAGATTGGACACCCCCGTAGTAAATGATAGGGGTCTTGTTTTCCACCACAAACAACTAAATGATTAGAGAGCTAGACTAAATATATGAAGCAACTGTTTTCAACCACTGGATAACAAGACGCACAGGAATGCAGACCCTGCTAGAGAAGCAAATGAGATGAAGCCTATAAGCTCCTTGGCTTTCTGCCAGGGCAAAATAGAACTCATGCTCACAGTGGTCAGGGGACAGACACAGAAATACAAGGATAAGGCAGCTGGAGAAGAGGGAGCTATTCAGAAAAAGACTTCTAGAAATCTACCTAAGGATCCCCAAGAGTCTTAGGCTGTATTAGTCCATTCTTACACTGATGAAAAGACATACCTGAGACTGGATAATTTGTAAAGAAAAGAGGTCGAATTGACTCACAGTTCCAGATGACTGGGGAGGCCTCAGGAAATTTACAATCATGGCAGAAGGCAAAGAAGAAACAAGGCGCATCTTGCATGGCAAAAAGAGGAAGAGAGAGAGTGAAGGGAGAAGTGTTACACACTTTCAAGCAATCAGATCTTGTGAGAACTCTAGACAGCGCCAGGGAGATGGTGCTAAACCATTGTTTTTTACTGTTCAATATAACCATATTATAGGCGAAATCCTATGTTGAAAACAATCTGCATATGCACCAGGTGAAACACTATGAAGCTTGGTTTATATAGATAAGCTGTTAGGGAGCTATAGGCTGAACAATTCGCAAAGCTCAAATATGGCTGGCTAACATGCAAGTGTTTACCAGCCATAATAGGAAGATCTTGTTGAATATCTGAAGCATTCAATAGAAATATCAGAAGCGTCACACCTTACAAGCAAGGTTAAATTTACTCTAGAGTAAAGGCTATTTTAGACCTAATCTAACAATGCTTTTTAAAAAGACCTTGAAAAAACTATGCCAAGTTACAAAATGTAGCAAAATTGGAATCGTAACCAAGAGAAAAAGCAATTAATAAAAGCCGAGCCAAACATAGCAAAGATGATGAAATTAGCAGAAAAATCTTTAAAATGTTCTATTTAAATATGTCTAGTGATTTAAAGGAAAACATATACTTGATAATACAGAAATAGAAGATATTTTTAAAAGAACAAATGGAATTTCTACAGGTGAAAACTGTAACATTTGAAATGAAAATGCTACTGGATAGGCATAACAGCATATTAAACCCTTCAGAAGAAAAAAAAAGAATCAATGAACTTGAAGATATAACAGTAAAATATATTCAAATATATTCAAAAGCACAGGGAAAAAAAGACTAAAAAAATACTTAGACCCTAAGTCATCTGTGGGACAATATGAAGTGGTCTAATATATATGTACTTGGAGTGAAAGAAAGTGGGGAAAATAAGAAAAAGGCAAAAAAGATACAGGAAAAATAAAAATATTTCAAATTTGATGAGATATATCAACAGATATTCAAAGAAAGTCATGCTAAGCAACATCATAATCAAATTATTGAAGTCCAATGATGAAAAGAAAAATATTTAAAGAACAAGACAAAAAAATTGACATTCTACATGTAGGGAAACAAACATAAGAATGCTCATATACTACTCGTCAGGAAAAACACAAGCCAAAGTCAACAGAGTGACATATTTAAAGTGCCAAAAAAAATCAACAAATAATTCTATATTGAGTGAATATTCATGTCAAAGTTGCAGGTTAAGTAAACATTTTTGCAGACAAGCAAAATCTGAAAGAATTCATATACAGCAGACTAGCACAAGAAGAAATGTTAAAAATATTAAATAACTTAAAAATTCCTCAAGCTGAAAGAAAGTGATACTAGACATATACTTGGAAAAAGAGTACCTGAAATAATAAATACATAGAAAAATATATAAGACTATTTCTTTGCCTTTCAATTTCTTTTAAAAGACAATTGACTATTCAAAGTAACATTTATAATGACAAATAGTGAGGCTTATATGCAGAAGGAAAATATATGACAAAATAGCATCAAGGATAGAAGGGGAAAATCACATTGTTGTTAAGTTCCTTATATTATATGTGAAATTTCTTATATTTGAAGCTTCAAATATAAATAATTGGCAGTAATGACTAGCAAACTATGGTCATAGCCCAAGTTTCTTCTGAGTCTTGTTTTTGTAAGGTCCACAAGCTAAGAAAGTTTTTTACATTTTTAGTGTTATTTTTAAAAGGAATATATGACAGAGACCCTATGTGGCCAATAAAGCCAAAAGTATTTACTATTTGGCCTTTCACAGAAAAAGCTTGGCAATTTCTGAGTTAGATTATGATATGTTAAAGATGTATATTGAAAACTCGAATGAATCTACTAAAATATAAAGCACAGAATTATTGCCAATAAGCCAATATTAGAGATAAAATCAAATATGAAAAAATATATTAGTTAGTTAAAAGAGTAAAAAAAAGGGGGGGAAGCTGAAAAAGATGCAAAAATAGAAAATAAATAGTGAAAAGAACCAATTTGAGCTCAAGGGTACCAATAATTACATTAAATATGAATGTTCTAAACACTTAAATTAAGAGACATAGATTGCCAATCTAGACAAAATAGCAGATTCAATTATATACTGTGTAGAAAAAAAAGCTACTAGAAATATAGAAACACATATATGATAAAAGTAAAAGCATGGAAAAGGATATATTATGCAAATGTTAATCAGAACAAAGCTGAAACCTCTATACTAATATCTATAAACAGATTTTTCAAAGGGAATTTGTAAACAGATTCTCTTTTATGAAATAAATAAAATAAACTTCATAAAAGGGAATATTACCAGGGATAAAAGGGACATTATTATTTTATAAATAAGATAAAGAAGATCTAAAAATCCTAATGTATATGAACTTTAAAAAGCACTAAAAAATATACGAAGAAAAAACTAAAAGAACTGCAAGAATAAATAGACAAAACCCCATTATTGTTGAATATTTCAATACTCCTCTCTCAGTAATTCATAGACCTAGTAGACAGAAAATCACTAAGTATACAGAAGACCCGAACTATGCTATCAATCAATTTGATCAAATTGACATTTATAGAACATGCCACCTACCTGCTGAAGAATACACATTACTTTCAAGTGGATATTGAACTTTTACTACAATAGACCATAAACTGGGCTATAAACCAAGTTTTAATAAATTTAGAATTATTGTAATACTACAGAGCATGTTCTAGACCACAATTGAATTAAACCAGAAAAAAATATCAATAGGATATATGAAAAATTCCTGAATATTTGGAAATTAAACAACACAATTTTAAATGAACTATGTGTCAAATGCTAAGAAATATTATAAAGTACTTATAACTGAATGATAATGAAAATACAACATATCTGCTGCTAGGTGAAGTTTAAAGTGAAATTTATGGGTTTATTAGCTTATATTTTAAAAAGGAAAAAGTTCTAAAACTCAGTATCTGAGCTTCTACATTAAGCTTGGAAAAGAAAAATAAATCAAAGTAAGTAGAAGGAAGGTGTTGGAAAATAATGATTTATGGCTATTTTCAAATATATACTGCTCAGGACTTTTCTGAGCTGGGTAGGTGGTACCTGGAGTGAAAAATGATTGAATAGAAACCCTAAAAAGAGAGATCTCCAGAGAGCTTTAGAGACAACTATGCCAGAGACATATTTTTACATTCCAAAGAGTAATAAAATCCCAGAAACCTTACCCTCCTACCCAGAGGGAAGATATGATTACATTCCAGAGTCAAAATCTTTCTTTCTCCATCTCTGGAGGGGAGGAGGAGTGAATGTATCAGCTGCCCTATATGACCTCTGAAAATCATAATGTTAGAGTTTCTTTCCTGTGCACTGTATGCAAAGGTGACATCTGCCTTCATTGTGTAACCTTATGAGAAATTGGGGTATAGGAAAACCTACGCAAAAAGTTTTGTCAATAATTAAAAGCCTAGCTCTGATCAGAGCTTTTTCTATTCTAATAGAATAAGTATAACAGTACATGTTTGTGTGTGTGTGTGCATGCACAAAAATAGGATACCATGTTAGACCTTTTGCTGTTTCAGACTGAACAGTAAAAAACAAGAAAAACATGAATGAATATCAATTTAAAGGGATAAACAATAGCAAAAATCAACAGAAATAAAAGCTGGTTATTATCAATTAAAAAATTGGTAATCCTACATATAGACTGATCCTCAATATATTCTTCTGAAAATAATAGAAAAAACACAAAATAAATATATCAGGAATGAAAGAGATGACATTATTACAGATATTAAATACTTGGTGATAAATTTAATTAAATATGTACAACAAATTCCTGAGAGAAACTAGAGATGATCTAAATTAAAAAAGAAATAAACCATGTTCATTAATTTAGAAAATCAAGTTTTAAGATGTAAATTATCCCCCAAGTTAATCTATTGATTAATAGAATTCAAATCTAAGTTCCAAAAGTGTTATTTTTAGAAATTGCCAAGTTATTTCTAGTAATTATATGAACATACAAAAAATTTAGAATAGCCACAGCATTTTGGAACAAATGCAAAGTTGAGATTACAATATCTATTTCAAGATGTAATATAAAACTATAGTAATGAAGATAATATGTTATTGGTGGAATTATAGATATATGGATCAATGGAGAAGAACAGAAATTCCAGAATTAAATTCACACATATGTGGTCAACTGGTTTTCAACAAAGGTGTCAAGATAATCTACGGAGAAAGTATTTTTTCAGTAAATATTTCTGGAACAACTAGATATACATTTTAGAAATGAAACATTCTCTTTACCTCACATCATACACAAAAAATTAATTTGAAAGTGACCTAAATGTAAACACAAAAACTATAAAACTTACAGAACAAAATATAAATGTAAAAATCTCTGATTTGGAGAGGGGCAAAGATTTCTTAACACTTTCTGAATCATTGATACATAATATTTGTACTCATTTATGGGGGTACATGTGATACTTTGTTATATGCACTGAATGTGTGATGATCAAGCCAGGGTGTTTAATCTTCTAGCTATTTTGAAATATAGAATACATTTCTGTTAATTATGGCCACTATACTCTGCTATTGAACATTAAAGCTTATCCCTTCTCTCTAACAGTGTGTTTCTACCCACTAATCAACCTCTCTTCATCTACCTCTTCCCACCTCCACCTGCACCACACACCATTCCTAGCCTCTGTTAACTATCATTTTACTGTCTACTTCCAAGAGATTAACTTTTTTTTAGCTCCACCATATAAATGAGAACACATGATTTTTGTCCTTATGTAACTGGCTTATTTCATTTAACATAGTGACCTCTAGTTCCACCCATATTGCTGCAAATGACAGGATTTGGGGGGGGTTTATGGCCAAATCATATTTCATCATATATGTTTACCAGATTTTCTTTTTTCATTCATCCATTGATGAGCACTTAGGTTGATTTCATATCTTTGCTATTGTGAGTAGTACTGCAATAAACATGGGGGTGCAAGCATCCCTTCCATATACTGATTTTCCTTTGGGTAAATACCCAGTAGTGGGATTCATGGAGTAGTACTATAGTTAGTTTTTAAGAAATTTCCATACTGTCTTCATTATTGCTGTACTAATTTATGTTCCCATCAACAAGGCATGAGTTTTCCTTCCTCTGCATCCTCACCAACATCAGTTATTTTCTTTTCTTTTTGAGAATAGCCACTCAATCTGGGGTAGCATGATATCTCATTATGATTTTGATTTGTGCTTCTCTAATGACAGTGATGTTGGACATTTTATCATTTACATGTTGATCATATACAAATTCTCCTTTCAAAAGAAGAACAGACATTTCTTTTTGAGAAATTCTCAAAAAGAAATGTCTATTCAGGTTCTTTGTCCACTTTCTAATTGAGTTATTGTTTGTTTCCTGTTGAGTTGTTTATGTTCCTTATATATTCTGGATATTAGCCCCTGTCAGTTGAATAGTTTGCAAATATTTTTTCCCATTCAAGAGGTTGTTGCTTCACTCTGTGGATTGTTTTATTTGCCATACAGAAGCATTTTAGTTTAACATAGTACCATTTGTCTATTTTTTGTTTTTATTGCCTGTACTTTTGAGATCTTAACCATAAAATATTTGCCTGTGCCAATGTCCTGGAGTGTTTCCCCTACGTTTTCTTTTAGTAGTTTTATAGCTTGGGGCCTTGTGTTTAAGTCTTTAATCCATGTTGAGTTGATTTTTGTATATGGTGAGAGATAAATGTCTAGTTTCATATTTCTGCATACGAATATCTAGTTTTCCTGGCGCAATTTATCGAAGAAGGTGTCTCTTTCCTGATGTATGTCCTTGGCTCCTTTGTCAAATATCAGTTGTTTCTAAATACACAGATTTCTTTCTGGGTTTCTATTCTGTTCCATTGATCTGTGTGTCTGTTTTTCACACAAATATCATGCTCTTTTTATTACTATAGCATCATAGTATATATTGAAATCAGGAAGTGTGATGCCTCCAACTTTGTTCTTTTTGTTCAGGATGTTTGGGTTGTTCGGTTCCATATACATTTTGGTCCCATATAAATTTCAGGATTGTTTTTTCTATTTCTGTGAGAAATGACATTGATATTTTGTTAAGGATTGCATTGTTTATAGATTACTTTGGATAGTATGGCCATTCTAACAATATTAATTCTTTTGATTCACAAACATGGGATTTTTTTGTTTGTGTCCTCTTCAATTTCTTTCATCAGCGTTTTGTGCTTTTCCTTATAGAGATCTTTCACCTCCTTAGTTAAACTTATTACTAGTCTTTTTTTTTTTTGCAGCTATTGCAAATGAGATTGCCTTCTTTTCTTTTCAGCTAGTTCATTATTGGTGTATAGAAATGCTACTCATCTTTGCATGTTGTTTTTCTATGCTGCTACTTCACTGAATTTGTTTATCAGATCTAAGAGTTTTTTAATAGAGCCTTTTGGTTTTTCTAAATATAATATCATGTTATCTACAAAGAAGGATAATTTGACTTTCTCTTTTCCTTTTCAGAAGGCTTTTATTTCTTACTCTTTCCTGGTTGCTCTGGCTAAAACTTCTAGTACTATGCTAAATAGAAGTGGTGAAAGTTGACATCCTTGTCTTGTTCTAGGTCTTAGAGGAAAGGCTTTCACTTTTTCCCCATTAAATGTGATGTTAGCTGTGAGTTTGTTACATGTGACCTTATTATGTTGAGGTATGTTTCTTCTATGACTAGTTTTTGAGAGTTTTTATCATAAAGGGATGTGAAATTTTATCACTTTTTCTGTGTCTGTTGAGATGATCATATGGTTTTTCTTCCTCATTCTGTTGATGTGATATATCACATTTATTGGTTTGCATATGTTGAAACATTCTTACATTGCTGGGATAAATCCCACTTGATCATCATGTATTATCTTTTTGATGTGCTGTTGTTGGATTTGGTTTGCTAGTACTTTGTTAAGGATTTTAGTTTATGTTCATCAGGACTATACCCTGTAGTTTTCTTTCTTGTTGTGTCCTTGTCTATAAGTAATGCTTGCTTATAGAATGAGTTAGGGAGAATTTCCTCCTCTTCAATTTTGTAGAATAGTTAGAAAATAATTGGTGTTAGTTCTTCTTTACAAGTTTCATAGAATTCAGCCATGTAGCCATCTGGTCTTGGGCTTTTCTTCATGGGGAGAATTTTTATTACTGATTTAATGTCATTACTCATTATTGGTCTGTTCAAGTTTTCTATTTCTTCCTCATTCAATCTTGGTATTTTTTATCCATTTCCTCTAGGTTTTCCAGTTTGTTAGAGTATTGCTATTCATAACGGTCTCTGATGACCTTTTGTATTTATTTCTGTGATATCAGTTGTAACGTCTCCTTTTTCATTTTTAATTTTGTTTATTTGGGTCTTGCTCTTTTTTTCCTTGGTTAGTCTAGCAAGTGATTTATAGATTTTTATCTTTAAAAACCAACTTTGTTTCATTGATCCTTTGCATTATTTAGGGATTTTTTAGTCCCTTTTATTTAGTTCTGCTTTGATTTTTATTATTTCTTTCCTTCTACTAAGCTTTCGTTTGGTTTGTTCTTGCTTTTCTAGTTCCTTGAGGTCAATCAGCAGACTGTTTGTTTGAAATCTTTCTACATTTTTGATATAGGTGATTTACTCCTATTAACTTTTCTGTTAGTACTGCTTTTGCTGTATCCCATAGGTCTTGGTGTATTGTGTTTCCATATTCATTTGTTTGAAAAAAAATTGTGATTCTCCTCTTAATTTCTTCATTCACCTGATGGTCATTCAGGAGCATGTTTTTAATTTCATGTATTTGTACAGTTTCCAAAGTTCCTATTGTTATTAATTTCTAGTTTTATTTCATTATGGTCAGAAAACATACTTGATAATGATTTTCATTTTCTAAAATTTATTCAGACTTGTTTTGTTACCTAGCATATGATCTAACCTGCATAATGACCCATCTGCTTATGAGAAGAATGTGTATTCTGCAGCTGTTAAATAAAATGTTATGTAAATGTCTGTTAGGTCCATTTGATCTAAAGCACAATTTAAATTCAATGTTTCTTTGTTATATTTCTGTCTAGATAACCTATCTAATGCTGAGAGTGGAGAATTGTATTAAAGTATATCCCCCTCTTTAGATTTAGTAATATTTTCTTTATATATCTGAAAGCTCCAATGTTGGGTGCATATATTTTTATAATTGTAATATTCTTTTGATGAATTGATCCCTTTATTATACAATTACCTTCGTTGGCTCTTTTTACTGTTTTTGACTTAAAGTTTGTTTTACCTGACATAAGGGTAGCTACTTCTGCTCACTTTTAGTTTCCATTTGCATCGAATATATTTTTCCATCACTTAACTTTTAGGCTATATGTGTCTTTACAGGTGAAGTGAATTTCTTGTAGGTAGCATATACTTGGGTCATATTTTTATCTATTCAGCCAGTCTATATCTTTTAAGTGGAAAATTTAATTCATTTACAAAGTTATTATTGACATGTGAGAACTTATTCCTGCTATTTTATTAATTGTTTACTATTTGTTTTGTATATTTTTGTGTTCCTTTCTTTCTCTCTTATTGTTCATCATTGCAGTTTGGTAGTTTTCTGTAGTGGTAACTTCTGAGTTGTTTCTCTTCCTCATTTGTGTGTTTACTCTACCAGTGAGTTTTATATGTTCATGTTTTCATGATGGTAGATAATGACCTTTCACTTCCAGGTATAGGGATCCCTTAAGTATATCTTGCGGGGCCAGTGCAGTTGTGGCAAATTTCCTCAGTTTTTGCTTGTCTGGGAAAGACTATATTTCTCCTTCTTTCATGAAGGATAATATTGCTGGGTATAGTACTCTTAGCTGACAGGTTTTTTTTTTCTTTCTTTCTTTCAGCATTTTGAATATATCATCCCATTCCCTCCTGGCCAATAAGGTTCCTGCTGAGAAATTCACTGTTAGTCTGATGGCGGCTCCCTTACACGTGACTAGAAGCTTTCCTCTTGCTATTTTTAGAATTCTCCCTGTCTTTGACTTTTGGCACTTTGACTGTAATGTGCTATGGAACCTTTTTAGGGTTGTGTCTATTTGGGGACCTCTGAGCTTCCTATATCTGGATGTCTAATATCTTTCTGGACTTGGGAAGTTTTTAATCTTTTATTTCATTTAATGGTTTTTGTATGCCTTTGGCCTTGTCTTCATCATCTTGAACCCAAAATTAGAATATTTAGTTGCTTTATGGTATCCTATATGTTAGGTAGGCTTAGTTTCATTCTTTTTTATTCCTTTTTCTTTCTTTTTTTGTCTGAGTTATTTCAAAAACCTTGTCTTTATGTTATAAAATTCTTTCTTCTAGTGATGCTCTTGAATGTACTTTTTAGTTCATAGCATTCTTCAATTCTAGGATTTTTGTTTGTTTTTTTTTGTAGGATATTTCTCTCTTAAGGTGAATTTCTCATTCACGTTTTGAATTGTCTCTTTCTGATTTATTTGTAATGTTTATCTGTGTATTTTTGGATCTCAATGAACTTCTTTGATATCATTATTCTGAATTATTTTTCTGGCATTTCAAAAATTTCTTTTTCATTGGAATCTGTTGCTAGAGAATTATTGTGTTTCTTCAGAGGTGTTATATTTCCTTGTTTTTCATTTTTATTGTGTCCTTACCTTGATATCTACACATCTGGTGTGACAGCCACTTCCTCCAATTTTTTGGATTGGCTTTCACTGAGGAAGACTTTTTCCTGAAGATGCATCTATGGTATTGTTTGATTAAAGCTCTTTAGGTTTGTTTCTGGGTGTGTGCAGTAGTGTAGTCTCCCTACAATGTCTTAAGCTATAAACAGTGTCAGTGGTGTCTGTGATTTCTTCAGTGTTTAGGCTGAAGTTGTTATTAGAGGATATGTGAAGCTTTCCTAGGGACGGGGATGCCAGTTGGGCCAGGCCTTGAGCCCAGAGGTGGCTGCTAAAGGCTAAACATGCTTGTACTTGGGGACCCAGGAATTGTATGTGGCAGCTGGTGTTAGTAGGTCCAGAGGATCTAATTTTTGTGGCTCCAGGTGGCTGGCTTAAGTGCCAGCAATAGCAGCAATGGGCTGGGCAGGTGGGTGGTTCCTCAGTCCCATAGGCAGCAAGTGTGCTGTGGGCAATGGCAATAGCAGTGGTGGGATAATCCTTGAGCTTCAGGTAGCACACACTGGTGTTAGTATTGGCTGTGATGAGATGGGTGGGCCAGTTCTCAGGTTTCCTGGTGGCATGTGTGGGGGTGGGTGTGGGCACTGGTGGTGCTGGAAGGCTGGGCAGGCTCATTCTCAGGCTGCTGAGGGAAATGCACAGATCCAAGATATGGTGAATGGGGCAGGGCAATCCACAGGCCCCTAAGTGGCATGCTCCAGCATTGAGGGGGGTGGTGCCAGTCTAGATGTGCCTGTCCTATACCCCCTTCTTCACTATGACAGACTAAACATCCTATAGCAATGGAGAAGAAATAAGGGTATCTTTCTATCCCTAATTGTGCAAGGAATCCTGCATATAGTCTGCACATGGATGCAGACTATAGTAAATAGGTGGGGCAATTCCCAGGCTTCTGGGCAGCATGTTCAGGTAGAGGCAGCAGTGGCGGTGGTGAGAGATGAGAGCCTGCATCCAGTCAGTACCTCCTTGAAAGCAGTGAAAATGTATTATCTCATTCCCAGATACTATCTGGCCAATAGTATGTAAATAATAAATATTTGATGAATTAAAAATATAAACATTTGAATAAATAAATGACACTGAATATAGTCAGACAAAATAGCAAGCTATTTTATAATGAATAACATTTTGGGAGGATCATGAAAAGACTCCCTGCTTGAATGTTCTCCTGGGAATCTACCATGACATGATTATTGATAATCTGCCATTAAAAACAAATAACACTGGATAACGGGCATCACTTCTCCAAGATTCCATTTTTTTTTTAATGCAGATAATTTCTGCAAACAGATAAAAGATTCCATCACTAATACCAACTAACATCAACACATCAAACTTACTAAGATTTCCAGTAAATGACTATTAGAATACACAGGAAGTTCTTATGTTCTGATGTGCGGAAGAAGGAAAAAGGGAGTTCTGAGTATGGTGTTACTGCTAGAGAACACTGGCCTAAGTAGTGTGTCATGAGTAATTTGAGAGTTGCAAAGGGAAACTCTGCATTTGAGCAGTCAGTGATCTGTTAAAAGAAAAAAAAAAACAATGCAAAAAGGGAAAGGGGAAAACATACGAAACACCTCTTGATCCTTCTTTTTTTCCTTTGGAGAAAGTTATAGAGTGAGTCATTTTTTCTCTTGGAACATTCCAGGAGATGATTCTCTGGGACAGTGGCCAATACAAGGACCATCTGCTTGGGGAGCCAGAATTTGATGCTTCTCAAACTAATAACATTCCTTTCTCCTAAAAACCCATTTCTGGGCTGACACTTACTGTTGTGACACTTCCATGTGGTTCAGCAAAATAGGTAATAAATTTTACTTGAATTTAATTGGCACTAAGCAACTAAAACAATCCTTGAGCTTTGGAAAATGTTTCTTTTCTTCCAGAAGGCCCATACCAAATAGAAATCATGTAGCTGGAACACATAATTTACTTAAAACTTCGTATAGTATGGCAGAGAAAATGTGCATCAATTCGCACATCATATTCTTCCTCCCAGGGCACATGGAAAACTGCATTTCCTAGTGGACTTGCATTTAGGCAGGGCCATGAGCCAAAACAGAAAACTTAACTGTGGGTCACTTGTGGGCAAAGAAAGTAAAAAACCCTTTCAGAATCCCTTTGTCTTTCTCTCTTGCCCTGCCCTGAGCACTGGTGACATTTGATCTAGATGGCAAAGGCTCCATTGTCTTGGGTACCTAGGTGACTTTGCAAAGACAAAATTCTCTGCCCTTGCTAGCCTTCCTTGAACATGTAACAAGGGTTAGAAACAACTTTTGTTGGGCAAAGTTACTGTGATTGGACTTATTTTAGCCTATATGACTAATGAAACTATTAAATCTTTTATACGAAATATTATATTTTCCTATGTAAAAACTATATTAGAATCAAACGTACAAAAGAGAAAGAACTTTTGAATTAGGGGAATTAATGGGAGTTTCTTTGATGTCCCCCCACTGGTCCATTTAAAATAGTATTTGTTTCATATTTTTAAACTTTTCAATGTACTGCTATTTATTTTTAATCTTATGGAATGTTTTTAAAAGTTTGGCAGAGTCTCATCAAATTTGAAGTGCCAAATCACCATCATTGACAAATAGAAAGTATACTAATGAAAATACAGTAAGGTTTTTATCTCTTTATATATACATATACATACATACATATGTGTGTATGTATGTTTGCATATATATGTATACATATGTATATGTAAACTTATGATTTAATGCAGAATATATGGAAGTGATCTATTAATTGAACTATTTTTATCTTTCCAAATTTTTATTTTGCTGAGCTATTCAGAGTTTTACATAAAAGATTTATAATATGCATCATACAAAAAGATGAGACTTTACAAAAAGTAGTTAATAAAAAGAATATATTTTTCCCAAAATATATTTGTATCCCATAAAGCAGGGTTTGGCAAACTTTGCCTGAGAAGGGCAAGAGAGTAAATATTTTAGATTTTGTGGGCCGTATACAGTCTCTGTCAAATATTATTTGTTTTCTATATATGAAAACCCTGTAAAAACATAGAAATAACTCCCCATTCTTAGCTTCCACAAACAAAAAACAGGGCAAGGATCAGATTTGGCCCACAGGCTATACAGATTGCTTTCCCTGCCATAAATAGTTTACTTCATTAGAAAAAACATACATATATATATATATATATTGCAAATGCAAGTATGTAAAGAAATTCAATTTTCAAACCCATTGAGGCATTTGTCTTTTCCTTAAAATGGTGACTTCAAATAAAAAGCTGCTAAGGTAGAGTTAGGTGAGGATGATATGGGACCACTCGCCTTATGAATTTCCAGTCTGAAGCAACTTTGTTTTCTGATCTATTAAAAACATTGGTCAATGTCTGTATGTTCACTATCCCTGTCTTTGGCTGTGGTGTCTAGGTAATACGGACAGAGCACCAAATAAAGAATTGCACACCACTGGAGACTGAGGCAGACTTCCGGGATTCCTAACTATCTTTCTAAATAACTTATTTATTGTGCTATCTTATGCCTTATAATATAAAATCATTCTTTGCCTCCAAATTAACTCTGTAAGTTGTCTTCATTTCGACTGTGACTGAAGGGCTTCAAAAGACAGGTATATTAGACAACATTCTTAGTATTAAGCAGAGTGACTTTGACTAATTTGAGTAAAAAGTTACATACACATAGTGTAACTCATAGAGTTTTGTTTTTTTTTTTTTGAAAAAAAAAGCTAGACAAGAAGGGCAGGGACATGGGTAAGTCACAGACTTCTTGGCCAGGGAGCTGTTTTCAGATATTAGAATCTGGACTGCATTGTATCCAGTTCTCTACTACAAATTAAAGGCCCCAGGAGAGAATATGATTGATCTAGACTGCATCACATCCATAGTCATTCAGTCAAGGAGATGGGAGGGAAGTATTTTCCCTTAAGGAAAAGAAAGAATGTAAAAACAAACAATAACAAAAAAATGAAAACAGATAAGCAAGAAAAGAAAAAGTTATTCTTACAAGTTTTAAATAACTATTTCATTCTATTCAACAAAGTATATAACTAGTTCTGCCTAATATGTAAGAAGCTACACAGGATTAATTTTAACCCTATTTCTTCTTGGAAAATCAGAAGTATTAGCAATAGTTGTCTTTGGCAAGTGGTAGAGACTACTGTTTCTTAAGTTATCAAAAATTGATCTGGAAAAGAGCAGTTTTATCCACAATCTAGGCCGATAAACATGAAAACTGTCACTTGTTTTAATAACAAGTTGGGACACCATAGTTTCTGGACTTCAAGATCATAAATGACTAGGTTCCAGATATTGAAAACTAATGTGTCAGTTTGTGCCCATTTCTTTGCCTTTTCGATGCCTTATCATAAATAATATTGAAGGGCATTAAAATCAAAGAGGCCTCTTATCTCATTCAGCTGCTGCTATTCATCCTTCAGTAGCAAACCCGTTCATTCTCATACCAAGCTATCCTTTACCTGAAGGTTAGCTCTTTATCTTTTATTTAGTCACTATTAGAGTTTCCATAGTTCACAATCACTTCTAAATAATGACATTCTATGATACAGGCACATATTAATGTAACAAATATTGTGTGGTTCCATCTCTCCCTTAAGTCTCAGAAATATCTGAGTTTCTAATTCATATATTTATTCAAACAATCTCATGACCTCTATGTTCCTTTGTCATTTCAGACTTGGAGCTTTCAAATAGTGACTGTATAGTGCTTTAGACACTCTATTTGGAGAAAAGTTTCCTTTATGAAATTAACTGAAATGTAAATGTTATTAGATGCTTGGCTAATTCTATTTATTTATTTATTTATTTATTTTGAGATGGGGTCTTGCTCTGTCACCCGCACTGGAGTGGAGTGGCATAATCACGGCTCACTACAACCTTGACCTCCTGGGATCAAGCAATCCTACCTCAGCCTCTCAAGTAGCTAGGACTACAGGTGTGCGCCAACATACTCTGCTAATTTTTTACTTTTTTGTAGAGATGGGGTCTCCCTATATTGGCAGGCTGATCTCAAACTGCTGGCCTCAAGCTATCCTCCCACTTCAGTCTCCCAAAGTTCTTATATTACAAGTGTGAGCCACCACAACTGACCTGTTTGGTTAATTCTCCGAGTTAATTTTTACCCCTGTTGTATAGTATAAATATGTCTTTGTAAAATTGAGTTTATCTGAGAAAGACTAAACATCCTATAGCAATGGAGAAGAAATAAGGGTATCTTTGTATCCACTATTGTGAAAGGAAACCTGCATAGTGTCTGACCCCAGCATACCTCAAGTCCCCTGTGGGAACTTCAGAAAGTCATTTGATTTAATGTAAGTATCTGGGTTATATTTTGTGTATTGTGAAACTCTTATAGCCTCTTCATGGGTGTGGGAGCAGAGCATAAAGGAGCACACAGCTCTTCTATGAATCTCTGGGGGGCTGTTCCATTGGAAGAATCCATGCCTACCAGTACTTTGTAAGGCCAGAATCTTCCTTGCAGCATTTATTCTGGAATAAAAGAAAAGCTCTATATCATTTCTTAGGGAAGGAGATAATGAAGAAAAAAACACCGGTCTAGATTCAGACTGATGCATTTAAATCCTGGCCCTATTTATCAGCTGAATGACCTTGAGCAAAGGATTTCATTTTTCTGAGTCATAATTTTCTTCTGTCTGCTTGGGTAATATCCTACCTAAAATGTTGTTAAGAAGATTAAATTATATAATACACAGGGAAACTGGCACAGGTAGGAAGAGCTCATTAAATTATAGTTAGGATTTTTCCCTCAATTTCTTGAAAATTTTGAGATTAGCATCTTCTCGGAATTTATGTAAGATGAAGACTGATGAAGCAGCATGTTCTCTGATACTGTAAAATGTCACCTATGTCACCATCACATTGCAATGTAGAAAGATAGTATTCGATAAACCTTTTGTATTTTAATTAAAATCTATTATTAAAGGTCTCCCTTTTATCTTTAATTTGGTCTTGTTAATTTGGGACTTGAAAAATATGTAACTGCTTGGGGTCTCTGCAGTTAGCTTGAACCACTATCTGGAGTTCTTGAATTCTAAACCTAAATAAAACCTTAATAGGTTTTATTGAGATGAGATATTTTGCTTCCCTTCAGTATAATAAAAGATTACTTTTTCCAAAATGTTGAGGGGATTATGGGAATGATGGACTTTTACCCATCGTGTTGGCTCATGCTAAGCAGTAAAAGAAAGGTGGAGTTCTCCAAGAAACATGGTTTCTTAGCCAAGCCATCTCCATATTCCTCCCATGGCTACTCCTGCCTAGACTTTGATATTTCTTATGCCTTTTAGCACCTTCAAGAACCTCTGTAAATGAACCACTCTGTATTCAAAACAAGACTACTAGATTATCCAGTAGCTTCCATGCTGAAGAAAGTAATAATAATAATTGAATAATAATATTGAATATTATAATTCTGTCATTATATAATTATATATTATAGAATTATTATTCTATATTATTCTATAATAGAATATTATATATAGCATTATATATTATAATGTATTACAGAATGATATATATTATCATGTATGTTAATGATAATATATCAATATATTATATTATCAGAATAGAATATCAATGTAGAATAAGTTATTATAGAAATAATTAAAACATTTTAACTTCATGTTTATTCATGCTTTAACATTCATGCTTATTATAGATCATGCATGTTCTATAACAAGCATTATCTCATAAGTTTTATAACACTATTTTTGTTTTTACAGCTGAGAGAAATGAATCATTTTAAGGGCTGCTTCTATAAGGAACTCAGTTCAGCACTCTGCTTAATTCTTAATTTGCGCTGGACCTTTTGGTAGAATTAACAGTTCTCTCTGACCAGAACACTTGGGTAAGGCCATTATAAAATCTAGTAAGGCCTTGAAAGCCCCTTCTCTGATATGGCTGGACCCTGTTGGCACCTTTAACTGCACCTGGCCACAAATAGCATTCTTAACCAAAGTATTTCCAATCTCATATCTGACGATAATCATACAACTCAAGACACAGGTTACAGCGCCATTTTGAAAAGAGTGATTTAGACATTTTACTATCCCTTCAAAAGCTTTCTCTTTACCACTTCAAAGTGGCTGAAGTGGTTAGACTTGTGGTCGCCCTTGTCCAAACTGTTGTCTAGACTCTTCTTTCTGAAGAAAACAAAGCAAGAAAAACAAAGCAAGAGAGTGTGACAGGGCTGTAACCTTGGCTGAGGTCTGCAGGAACTGGGGCTGATAATGGAGAGGGTAGAGCCGGCCCTGGGTTACAATAGTTTTGCAAAGAGAAATAGAAGTCTGGGTCAGTTATGGAAAAATGGGAAGAATAAAGTTTCGTTGCACATGGACCTTCAGTTAGAAGTGTGTAATAATAGACCAGGCACAGTGGCTCACGCCTGTAATCCCAGCACTTTGGGAGGCTGAGGCGGGCGGATCACAAGGTCAGGAGATCGAGACCATCCTGGCTAACACAGTGAAACCCTGTCTCTACTAAAAATACAAAAAATTAGCTGGGAGTGGTGTCGGGCGCCTGTAGTCCCAGCTACTCGGGAGGCTGAGGCAGGAGAATGGTGTGAACCCAGGAGGAGGAGCTTGCAGTGAGCCGAGATCACGCCACTGCACTCCAGCCTAGGCGACAGAGCGAGACTCCATCTCAAAAAAAAAAAAAAAAAGAAATGTGCAGTAATAATTGCTCAAGACAGAAAGGATGAATTGGGATTTGGATCCAGAAATTTCTTGATGCCACAGAAAGTAGGAAGTGGACATTTTATATTGTACCTGCAAAGGAATGTATGGATAATAGTAAATTACTTCTAGAGCAATGAAGCCACTTACATAGTTAAAAAAGTGAAGACTTTGCTACTGCCAAATTTGCTGCAAGGATTACTTCCTGTTCTTAGAGATCAACCCAAAATGAAGATCGAAAGCCAGTCCTGCAAAGACCAAAGACTTAAGACCATCAATATCTCCCTAACTATAGTGCTCTCTTGTGTTCTCTAAGCGATTTCCTTTAATCAAAGTCTCAACTCAAGTATGTAGGAGGTTTGCAACACCTTCAAGTTCTTAAATTCCAACGTAAGACACAGGGTTATATATCAAGATAAGATATTCATTCAGGGTATCTCATTGGAGTCTATGATGAACATGTGAACTACCTCTAATAATACTATAGGGATACTCTTTGTGTAAAACTGTGATAAAGTTTCTTCTAACTCACAGAGAAGAATGTTTTTGATATAAGGAGTGTGTATCAAACACTATCTGCCTGAAATAAGATGTTTCCATGGAGGGTTTTTTTTTTTTTAATTCTTACCTCACATTAGGAAACAGGAATGCTTTTACATAATTTCTAGATTGTGCTTTTTAAAGGGAAATTCTGTTAGTTCTAAATAAACAATGCATTTTATTATTTCCTCTTCAACATTATACATACAAGCTTTTATTAAAGTCATAGGTGCCTTTAACTTGAAATACCATTTTAAATCTCAGGCACATAAATGTTTGTTTGGATATTAAGAAGACACCTATGTAAGATTCAAATCCTTCTTTCTTTAAGTTTTGCTAAATATCCTCTAAGAATGTAACATAGGTCTAAATTGCCACCTGGAACTAATAGGAATCAAAACTTTCGGTAAAGCCTGGAAATTGAGACTATAAACAGAATAATGGTAGAGGAACCTATAGAGTCTATCAGATCCCCAAACCATCCTCAAACCATGTTGTTCTGAAGGCTCTGTAGAGCAGGTAGTTTTAAGTTTTTTAATGTCGTGGAATAGAATGTAAGTTTCTCACACTCTGTGAAGTTGTTCCTTCTATCTAATATAAATCTCTCTTGCTGCAGTTTTAGCTCATTTCCTGCAGTTTGAGTCTCTGTGATCAGGAAGAACAGCTGGTCTCTGTCATCCTTACAATAACCACTCATATTCCGGAAGTTATATCAGCCTTAGGTTTCTTCTTCTCTAGGCTTAAAAGCCCAGCTCCTTTAACTTTTCCTCAGAGGACCCATTTCTCAGCCATTTTATCATTTTGTTGATTGCTTCTGGACTCTCTCCAAATTCTGTGTCAGTCGTGCTTCCCTCAAACTGGAACAGGCTGTGAGTACTGGAGACCTTGCTACTGCCAAATACATAGGAAGATTACTTCCTTTTCTTATTGGTCAGCTACTGCTAATAGAGCTGTACAGATCAAAGCGACCCTCATAAAACCCTGAGCTGCCATTCTGTCCCCACTGCTTACCCCACACTCAGTCCTCACATACAAAAATAGAGATAAAATGTATTTTTACAATAGGGACAAGTCAGGTCAGAGATGTGCCACTTTCACATTTAGCACTGGGAGTGGCAGGAAGCAGCCAAATGCCTAGGCACAAAGGGGCAGGTCCCCAGTGAAACCCCACTTCCAAGCCAAACACAGGTTAAAACCTGAAAGACAAGCTACCAGTTAAATCCTTGGACCAGGTTGAGAACCTCTCTTCCTGTTTGGCACGCTTTCCTGATTGTCCCCATTCTTCACGTATTTTACATATACCTACCCTTTCCTAATTGGCTTTCCACAGTGTCATGCCCACCTTGAGTGGTCTCTTTGCTTTAACCTTTTTTGCATACTCACAAACCAATCAGCACACACACCGCATTCTGAGTCCATAAAAGGCCCCAGACCCAGCCACACGGAGGAACTTTCCTGACTGTGGGGGTGGGGGACTACCCCTCGCATCCTCTCTCCACTGACAGCTGTTTCGTTGCTCAGTAAAATTCTTCTCTGCCCTCCTCACCCTTCAGTGACTTCATTCTTGGGGGTGGTACAAGAGCTTGGAAACCCCCAAATGCAGGTACAAGCTAGCCAAGCAAGGCCTGGAAGGGGCCTTGCCAGCCGGGGGTCGCTATCTTGCAAAGTGACTGAGAAGAAAAATCCTACATCAGCATCTATCTTTTTTCATGCTCCCCCTTGCTGTCTCTCACCTTGTCAAGCTATCTGTCTTGCCAGCCTTTGAACATTCACATACTTGCATCTATAGCCTCTGGAATATCTCCCTGCCTCAAGACATTGTGCCAGAGGTTCTGAGAGCTCTCCCACTCTCTCTCCTCATCTACTGTCTTCTTGCAAACTCCTACCATACTAGTTAGGTCTATTTTCAGCATAAGTAAAAGAACTTCAGCTCAAATTGAAAATAAACTCTTACTGAAAATGAGAGATGCCTAATTGTTTAGTTTTACAGGTTTGTGAATATTATATATAAATGATATCACAGAATGAGCATTTTTCTGCAACTTATTTCCAATCATAGTATGCTTATGATTCTTATCTTATGTTGATGCATGTACCTTTGATTCACCTACTTTTCCTTTCTGTTTTGTGTTGCAGTGTATAAGTTATCACTATTGTTGAGTTTACCTGTCAATAGACAATTAGATTATTTCCAGATTTTTGTTAATTTTAAGCAAAGCTATTATAAAAATTTTTGTACGTTTCCATCTATATATGTTCAAGGTTTTCTCTAGGATATATCCCTAAGAATGGAATTGCTGAGTCATTAAAAGTATGTACATTTTCAGCCTTAATAAATGTTACATAGTTTTCCAAAGTTATTATATTTATATTTCTACCACCTGTGTGTGTATAATATAGATATTCTAGAGATTAATATTTTATCTGATGATGTATACCTTGCAAAGATATTTATGTGACTTATCTTTTTACTTTCTCTGTTTTCTTTGTTTAACAGAAGTTCTTAATATGGCGAATTTTTTTCCACTTATTTTGCTTACAATTTTTGAGTCTTATTTAAGAAATTGTATTCTAACTCAGTTATAAAGATAATCAGCTACATTTTCTTTCACATTTAGATTTTTAATTTATCTAGCATTGATTTCTTTATTGTGTGAACTAGGAACCCAGTTTGTTTTCTTTTACATGTAGATAAGCAGTTTTCACTGTACTATTTATTAACCTGTTTGTCTTCAATGTCAGTTCTGTCATATATCAAGATTCTATATGTGAGCCTCATTTTGGATCTCTATTGTGTTCCACTGATAGTTTCCATATCCAAATACCACTGCCTCACTTTCCTAGTTACTTTAGCAAGTTTTCATCACTTTGTTCTTCTTTCAAAATATCTTGATACTTCTTGGCTCGTTGCCATTCCACATAAATTTTAATTCAATTTGTCAAACTGTCTCTCTCTCCCTCCAATTATCCTGCTGGTATTTTAAGTGGAAATATACTGCATCTATACATCAATATATTTTTAAGATGTTGAATTATTCAATCCATGAATGTAGTCTCTCTCTCCATTTATTGATCTACTTTCATGTCTTTTTCTAAATTTTTATAATGGGCTTCATAATGGTTATTGTTGTTGAGTGATAGGAGTTCTTTATATGGTCTGAATGTTAACCTCTCATCAGATACATGATTGGCAAATATTTAATCCCATTCTGTGGGTTGTCTTTTCATTCCCTTGATGGTGTCCTTTCATACACAAAAGTTTTAAATTTTGGTGAAGTCCAAGTTATCTACTTTTTTCTTTTGGTGTCATGCGCAAGAAATCATTGCCAAATTCAATGTCATGAAGATCTTCCCCTACGTTTTCTGTTAAGAGTTTTACAGTTTTAGCACTTACATTAAGGTCTTTGGTCCATTTAAATGAATTTTTATATAAGGTTCAGGCTAAGGGTCTAACTTTCTTCTTTTCATGTAGATATCCAGTTTTTCCAGCATCTTTTGTTGATAAAACTGACCTTTTCCCATTGCGCCAATCTTTTAAAAATTTTTATCATTCTACTGGGTCTGTGCCAGTAACACTAGTGGTTTTTGTTTTCATTTCTTTAATCATGTTGAACATTTTTAAAGGTTTCTATTGACCATTTCTATATCTTCCTTTATAAATTTCCTGTTCAAGTCTTTTGTCTATTATTTTTGTGGGTTCATTTATATTTTAGTATTGGATTGTAAGATTTGTATATGTGTTCTGGACGGAAGTCCTTTTGAAATATAACATTATTTCATAAACATATCATGAACATTTCCTCACAATCTGAGACTTGCTTATTTATCATTTTCTTAGTGGTATCTTTTAATTGGCATCTTAAACTGGGATTACATACATTTAATCTATTTTTCTTTCATAAATAAGGATTTTGGATCCAGTTCTTAAATTTTTTTCTACACCACGTGGTCATGAAGATTTTCTCTTGCTTTCTACAAGAAACTGTAGAGTATTATACTTTATGTTTAGGTCTATGATTTGTCTTGAATTAATTGTTATATATGATCTGAGATATGATTGAAGGCTTATTTTTTCCCCCACATAGGCAGTTTTTCCAGAACCATATATTGAAAAGATTTGTCTTTCTCCATTTAATTGTTCCAGTTCCTTCATTAAAATTTTTGACTATAGAAGTGTAGTCTTTGTCTGGACTCTGTATTCTTTCTGACAGTTTTAAAAAATCTTTATAGCTATCTTGATATAAATCAGTCTTGATTACTGGAGTTTCATTACATTAAGTCTTGAGATTGTGTATTAATAGTTTAAATGTTCAAACTCAGCTCTTCTTTTTCAAAATTGTTTGGCTATTCTAGGTTCCTTGAAAGTCCATACAGATTTTACAATCATCATGTCAATTTCTACCAAAACCCTTTCTAGATTTTGACTGAGATTGATTGCATTGAACCAATAGATTGATTTGAAGAAAATTTAGTTCTTGAGAACATTATGTTGCAATCTGTATCATGATATATCTCTATTCATTTAAGAATTTCATTTTTCTTAACAATGCCTTGTTAATTTTAGTGTACAAGTCTTACATACACTTGTTAAATTTATATGTAAGCATATGATGCTTTGAATGCTGTTATGCATGGTATTTTTTAAACATTATTTTTCTATTGTTAATTGTAGGTATTTGAAAATACAACTGATTTTTGCAAATTGGCCTTTATACAGAGCAAGTATTAGTGATAAAGTAGGTATGCATAGAAAGAGCCCCAGAAGTTTTCATCAGGGTCTCATTGCTTCTACTGCCAATCATTAAGCTGTGGATGCTTAGGGCAAAACCCTTCAAGGCCAGTCGTTGATTTACTATGCAGTGGTAAGCTGAATTACTCTACAAATCATGGGTTTAGGGGTTTTGGTTATCTGCAAGTAAAAGAATTGCCTGTGAAAAGTACTTTAATACAGAGAGACAAAAGAATTCAGACATTCAACAATTTAATGTTAACAATGCCCAGCATCTAACAAAAAAATTGGAAAAATAGGAAGAAGCTGAAAAATGTTACCTATAAACAGAAGGAAAAAAATGAAAATACAGAAAGAGACAAAAGTTAGAAATATAATGTAATTAGCACAAAAAGACTCATAAAGATAGAAAAGGAATTAAAGTAAGACATAAATGTAAATGAGAATAGAAAATGAAGATATTTTTAAAAGCACGCAACCAAAGGAAATCCTGAAATGAAGATATGATCAAATTGAACACAAAGCAATAGAAATGTCCATGTCAGATGTTGAACTTGTTACTTCTACAATTTCCATTTGGTTTGTTTCCATTGCTTCCATTTTTTTCATTGAGATTCCCTACTTGTACCTCTGTTATATTCATGTTTTCTTTGAAACTTTACTATATTAATACTAGTTCTTTTAAGTATCTGATGACTATTTTCATCATCTCTATCATTCTGATGTGTTTCTGTGAGTTATGAGTCACATTTTCCTACTTCTTCCCAGTTCTAGTAATTTTTATTGGATGGTGGACTTTATGAATGTTACACTGTTGAATATCTGGATTTTGATATCTTCCTTAATAACGTTGAGGTTTGTTCTAGTAGGATGTTAGTTTACTTCTACATGGCTCGATCCTTTCAAAATTTGTTAGAGTAAGTCTAGAGCAGCCTTTTCTCTAGTTCTGGTGTAGTCCCAGTAATACAGGGTGACACTTTTAGGGTCTCTACCCAATGCTCCAAGTGTTCAATAATGTCACTGCACTTTGACTATGTTGCTCAGTTTACTTGTTGTGGTTCTTTTCCTGGCACTTGTTCTTTTTTTATGTGGCTATTCTTTGCCTCATATTGTAGAGTCTTGCCCTGCATATGTATGATCTTTATAGTATTAGGCCAAAGACTTAATAAGCCCCTATATAGACTTTTGGGGTTCCTTATCTTCCTTATCTGAATAGCTTTTTTCCACTGGTATTCTGCTTCACAATTCCAGCTTCTCTGAACACTGGTATCTGTCTATTCAACTCAGTGAGACTGCCATGCTCTATTTGAGCTTTTCATTCCTGCACGGCAGGCAGAGAATGGGTACGGTCACGGTACTCACCTTGCTTATTCACCTTCCCTCATAGATTACCATCTTACACTTCCTTGTTTCCAATATCTAAAAATGGTTATTTCATATATATTTGCCAAGTTTTACAGGTGTTTTCAATGGGAAGACTAGTCTGTTACCAATTATATGGCTAGACGCAGCAGTGTCTTCAGGTAATTTTGAGGTTCAACTGACTTTCGTTCTGCACCTGGGTTCCCTTTTATTTGCTATCTGCTAAATTTGAAAAGCACTTTGTCCTGACTGAGTAGTTTTCCCTCCAGTTCTAGAGAGAATTCCTCTCTTTGGAGTGAGGCATGTTGTTGAGAAAACAGATTACAGAAAACACAAAGTGGTTTTTTTTTTCAATTTGGTGAAGGTACAATTATTGAAAATACTCTGCAACTTTATTTGCTACTGTTCATCCACAGTTTTAAAAATGGGACTAAGTAAATCAGTAGCTATATATCCATGGTTCTCAATTGTCCACACCATTTCCAAAGTAGAAGGAGAAAGACTGCAATCCAGTTAAGAAGCCACATTGGGAGTTGGAAAGAGATAAGCCTATACACACTTCTTCTTTTAGTCCTGCCTTTATATCCTTGGATTACAATTCAATCGCCAACTAAAAATTTTTAATGCCTATGTCTTCCATGGCATTCCCGTAATTATAGTGCTTGTCCTCTGAAATTAGGGAAAATTAGTCAGTTACTGTAATAATTCTTTAGTTTGTCCTGAAGGAAAGTTTTATGTTTTGCAAAAACCTTTCTTCATTTTAAGTAATATTGGCTAGAACTTTTTGAAGTTTATTAGATCTTTCGTGCATTTCAGATCTGACTTCTATACTGTAGTAGTCATGACAGCTGTCCACCAAGTATTTCCAACTCCTACCTTCTAGGATGGTGGTAGATTGCGCTTCTTTAAACTGCTTCTTTGGAATTTAGGCTTCTTCATGTGATTTGCTTTGACAAATGAATTGAAAAAGGAAGGGAGTAGCACATTTCCAAGCAGAAGCTTTCAGAGCCAGTAAATGGTTCAACATGTCCTTTTCCTTTTCATGGATTGTGTTGAAGCATATATTGAGATGAAACTTACATCTGCATCAGGCATTGAGCAGAGACCCCAGCATGCTGCTGCCACTACCAGCAGCTGCACACACAAGGCTGTGTTCGGTTTATGGTGTGATTGAGAAATAAACCATTTTGTGATAAGTTACTGAAAATGCAGGATTGTTAGTATTACAGCATAATCTAGACTTTCTTGGCTAACATGTCAACCTCATTTTTCTCCTCAGTGATATCTTTCACTGGTTCTTATATAATATGTAGCAAATGTTGAAAGTTTTCTTATGCTATCTTTGCTGAAAGTCGAATGTATGTGTGTGTATGTGTATATCATTACATTATATTTATATATTATTAAATGTTATTACACACACATACATATACACACAAGTGACAATCAATCTCAACACAAACCATGGAAAAGGAGAAATGTAGTACTTTCTAAAAAAAATCCATAGAAATCATTAATGTTAAGAAGTGATGATTATCTACTTGGACATCCCAGATGACCAGATTTGCATTTTAAAGTATTAAACCTTCTATCAGAATGATCCTAGGCATCCCAAAGTTTAATCATCAGAAGGCCGTATTCAGAAGGCCTTATGGCTGTCATTAGGATAAGATTCTGTAGGTCATTGAAGGAAAAAAAATTAACTCGCAAACTGAGACAATATAAATTTGACTCAAATGGGGAACAAAGACTTCATACCCAGAAGAAAGACCCTACAGCAAAAGTAATTTAGGGGTGAGCGCTAATGCTTACTCATTTTTGATGTGGCTCATGCTTTTTTTTTAAGTACAATATATCAAATAGTTATTTCATCACAAAATTGAAAGAAGTTCTGAAAAGCTTGTAATTCAGTAGCGTGAGATTACCTGAGAGAAAAATAAAAAAGCATATTTTGGCAATCAGGATGAAAAGAAGCCAAACTTCGATAGGAAATAGAATATTATTAATATTAATAGCATGGGCTATTTCAGACTTGCCTACTTTCAAATTAGGCACTTCCACTTCATAGCTTTGTGATTCTGGATAAATTGCTTACTTTCTCTGAGATTCAGTTTCCTTGTCTCTAAAATGGAGATATTACCAGTATGCACCCAACAGTGCTATTGTATAGATTCAATAAAATAATACATCTGAAGTATTTAGACTGATGACTAGTATCTTGTTATATTATTTTATTTCAATAAAAATTATCTATCAGGTTTTGAGTGTAGGTCTTTCATTATTCGTGAACACCCTTTACAATTCTAAAAATTCTCTTACTGCTTTCCCAAATCTTCAGTGTGGTCAATCCATTCCACTGTACCCTCATGCCTTTGTATTTCTATTCATAGATTCTTAAGATATTACTAAATCATAAGTATTATCTATTCTAGCAACCTCATTACATAAATAAGAAAAATGGAGCCCACTCAAAATACTTCTATCCACTTCTACTTGCTTTACAAATTATTAATGTAACTTAATACTTTTATTTGTCACACATGTAATTTGCCCAGTAAATAATTTATTTTACAAATACTTGAGTGGATCATGTATATTAATATTAATATTTTATGAACATAAATAAGATAACTTTAACCTAGGAAGTCCAGGAATCATTATTTACTTGGGGTGTAATTCTGATAATCTAAGTTTTCCATGAGCATGTATCTTTGGGCATATGTTTGGGTAGGTTTTGCTGTGGGTCTTCTTTCTTTTTCACATATTGTTTCTAGATTTCCCACATCTAGACTAAAAGGAGGATATAGTAGTTCATAAAGTACTTTTTGAGCTTAACAATTTGTCTGTAGCAAAGAGCTCAGAAATTCTTTTTTAAAACACACTACTTTCAAAAAACACTACACAGCCCATACATTTTCAAAAGGAAGGAAGGTAAAGGAGAGAGAACTGAATTGGATTCTGACCACTGCACTCCCCTCAAAACTAGATTTTAGTCTTAAGACTACTACAAAAAAAGGAAGAACCAAATTCACTAACATTTACCTATTGTGCATCAATTAATGGGAACCTAATCACTTTTCTCTAACCTAAACCACACAAATTCTACTGTGCCTTATTGTTTTTAGCATCTCCAAATACTAGATATGATATTCAAATTCCAAATAAAGTAGTAAGATCTAAATAATAGTTTAATTCAGCAAACATTTATAAAAGTCACCTATGTGCCAGGCTCTGTACTAAGTGCTGGAGATACAGGTGAATTGTACATGTATCTGCTCTTGAGGAATTTCTAATCCAGGGGTTGGAGTTTGATAGCTGTGTAAAAAATACTTTGGTGTGCTAATGCAATAATTAGCACCAAAATACTTTGGTCTACTAAAGGCATGTGCTGAGAGCTCTGATAGCACCAAGGACTATGTATGGCACAACCTGAGGATCAGCAATGCCTTTTGGAGAAAATGTGGCTTGATCTCTATTCTCAGGATCACTGCATGTTAGCTAGGTACAGAAGGAAGAAAAGCATGTCAGGCAACTTTCCATGTGAGTCATTTCACTTGGTGAGTGGGGAGTGTAAGAGAGCAAGATGCACAGAACTGTGGGTACTGTATTGCATTCCATAGATGATGGGAGGCATTGAGGTATTTCAAGATGGGTAAAAAACATTGAGACGTGTTTGGAAGATACCATGAGCGTGTTCACCTGCCCTTTGGGGCACATGCAAAACTGCAGTTCTCAGGTCCCTGGTTGTGGGTGGTGCCATGTGATTAGCTCTGGCCAATAGGCTGTGGATAAGGAGGACATACGGCACTTCTGGGTGAAAACATGGAAGAGCCTGTCCATGACCTGCCGTTGTTCAGTTCCCTGCCATGGTGTTTGTGGAAGCACATTACAATGGGCTTCCTATAAGAACAAAGATGGATATAATGCTGAATCTTCACAAGGAGGGCTAATGCAGAAGACTTTTGGAGAATGATAAATAAACATTTGTTGTGTGAAGCCACTGAGATTTGGGTATCACTTGCTACTAGTGAGTAACCTAGTCTATGCTGACTAAAAGATATTGGTAAGGGTTTATTAGTGTTTGTGTATGAAGGCTGAGGAAGCAGAAGAAAACTAGTTTTTGTTTTGATGATTGGTTAGATGGTTTAATGTCTACTTAATGAGAGAAGATTCACGTGAAGAAGCTAGCTAAATTAGTTTAGAAAGATATACAAATGGCAGCATGATAACGTGCAGACTCTAAAGCATCTGTATGTCATACTGATGGATAAGTCTAGCCAACACTTAGGTATAGGAGCCAGAAGCACAGTGGATTCTTGGGGCTAGAAAAATAGGGACTTGAATGTTCTCATTAGGTGTAATAGTTAAAATTACAAGAACAAATAGGTTCATCCAAAGAAGTTGTGAAGCAATTATCTGCTGAATTTAGGCTAAGCAAATAACCAAAACCTCAAAACTCAGTTTCATCATCTGAATTATCCAATTTGGCTAAACACACTTTTAATAAAAATCAACTTTCAATGGGAGTTTTCATCTTCATAACTAGCAGCAAATCATTTTTCCTTAGCTTAAAATGAAGAATAAAACAGAAACAGAATGGGTCTTTCTATATTTGTCCAGTACAAGCATGATTTTGGTTTTCTACATCTTCTTAGATTTGGGGTATTTTCTTTGCATATCCAGTAGATATTTCACATTCGTTTGTGACTCTTTCATATGATTCTATTTCTTTATGAGTCTGGAATCCTGACTTCATTAATGATCAGTACCACCTATTCAGCAAAGAAACATTCACTCTGGAGTGGGCAGAAATTTTGGAAGCAGTATCCTTTTTACAAGTCATCATCAGGAGAGTGAACCTAAAGATTATTCAGGACAGTGGCTATTTCTCTTAAGAACATCAACATTGCTATTTATTTCACAGCAGACACCACAAACTTCTTTATTTTTTGGTTGCTTTTTATTTGCCTGCTCCTCGTCTCTCACTCAAACATGAGCTCAGTCTCTCTGAGGAAATCATCTATCTGCCTTGTTAACCGTTGTATTGCCAGCACTGAACCTGGCACATGGTGGGTATTCAATCAGCGTCTATTGTGTTTGTTGAGTGGATGGACAGGTATACACTGAGGGACAGCATACAACAAAATAATCATTTTGTCTCCTATGTTAGTCTGAGAGTATGATCAGTGTTTACTATTAAATAAATATTTAAAGAGTATTTAGTCCTTCCTTTTCTCATTCCTGTCTTTCATTCATGGGCTCATTGAATCTTTTCACAAATTCTCTATATTGTGCTTTTAAAATATCCCAAATCTGACCACTTCTTCAAGCTGTACCAATCTGGTCCCAACCCCCATTACCTCTCACCTGAATTACCACAGTCAATCGTTACCACTCTCCCTGCTTCTACCCTGGCTGCCAAGCCCTCACCTCTTCCATTCCCAGGTTAATTTCAATACAGTGGTTGGAATGATTGATAGTCTAAAAATGCAAGATCTTCTCATTCCTCTTCTCAGAGTCTTCCTTTCTTACTGAAATTAAAAGTCACTATCTTTACAGTAGTCACCAGGCCCTACACCAGCTAGCCAGTTGCCACGTCAATGACCTTACTTTTTATTGGTTTCCTCTTTACTCCCTTCCCCATACCAACATTCCATGTTTTTTAAAGGCACCATGCCTGCCCTACCACAGGATATTTGCTACTGCCTCTATCTGAAATGCCTTACTTCCACATATCCACAATGCTGGATCCCTCATCAACTTCAGGTCTTTGCTCCAATGTCATTTTCTCAGTGAGACCTTGCCTGATTGTCCCATATCAAATATCAGTGCCTTCCTCTGTACCCCTCACTACTAATCCCTTCAACACTGTTTCAGTTCTCTTCATAGCATTTATCACCATCCAACATATTTTGAATTTACTTGTATATTTATTTATTGTCTTTCTCCATATAGTAGAACACAAATTCTACAAAGGCCAGGTTTTGCCTGTTTTGTACAATGCTGTTTCACCTAGAATAGTGTTTAGCACGGAACAGATATAAAATAAATATTTATTGAGTGAAAAATCTGTAACTACTGTGCTAGTCCATTTGCATTGCTATTAAGGAATGCCTGAGGCTGGATAATTTATAAAGAAAAAGGGTTTATTTGGCTCACAGTTCCACAGACTATACAAGCATGGAACTAGCATCTGCTCAACTTCTGGTGAGGCCTCAGAAAGCTTATAATCAGGGCAGAAGGCAAAGGGGGAGTTGGCATATTACATGGTGAGAGAGAAAGTGAGAGAAAGACAGAGAGGGCCTAGACTGTTTTTTAAACCACCAGATCTCACATGAATTCACTACCCTGGGAGGGGGCACAAAGCCATTCATGCAGGATCTGCCACCATGACCCAAACACCTCCCACCAGGCTCCACCTGCAACATTGGGAATCACATTTCAACATGAGATTTGGAGGGGACAAACATCCAAACTATATCAACTACTAAACACCTTAGAATCAACTCTGAGCCAATGAGAGCTAAGCTGATCAGTATTTCAGAAGCCCCATGCTATGGTTTGAATGTGTCCTTCCAAAATTTATGTGTTGGAAACTTAATCCCCAGTGCAACAGTGTAGGGAGAAGATGACTGGGTGGGTCATGAGGGCAGAGCCCTTATGGATGGATTAATGTTGTTATATCAGGAGTGGGTTAGTTATAACAAGAGTGGTTTATTGTAAAGCAAGTTCAGTTCCTGGTGCCTCTTTTTTTGCATGTACTCACTTGTCCGCCATGGGATCATGCAACAAGATGTCCCTTACTAGATGCCAGCACCATGCTCTTGGACTTCCCAGCCTCCAGAACTGTGAGAACTGCTTTCTAAATTACCCAATCTATGGTATTGTTATAGTAACAGAAAACAAACTAAGACATCCCATGAAGGCAAGTGTGTGAGAGGCTAAAATTAAATTTTTAATTCTCGACTCTGGGCTGTAAACCTAAGGTATGTTAGTTCACAAAGACTTCAGCCTCCCTTTTTCTCTACAAGTCTCAGTTTTTAAGAGAACACTTCTGACCTGTTGGATGGCCTTGAACCCCAACAGCTTGCTCAGAGCCCAGGAAATACATCTCAAGTTTGAAAAATTATTTGTATTAAACAGTATTTTCTCTTACCTTTTAATTTAGGACAGTAGTGGTACAACAAATCCTATAACGTAATTACCTTTACCTCTTTTGTAATAACAATTTTTTTTCTTTTTGCAATAGTTGAGGTGGGAAAGAAGAAGGTATTCTACCAAATTATGAAAAATGGTTTTAGAAAGAAAATTATAAGTCAAACTCAAATGGAACCTAACTAGTATCTCCAAACTACTTTAAATCTAACTTATGGTTTTAACTTCATAAAAACTACAAAGTTTGAAAGCTGTATAGGCTTTGGAATATATTTTATCCTATTCTATTGATGTCCTTATAATGTTTACAGGTAATTATTTCATTTTCTATAAAAATATAACACATAGCACATTGATATGGTTTGGCTCTGCATCCCCACCCAAATTTCACGTTGAATTGTAATCCCCAATGTTGGAGGAGGGACTTGGTGGGAGGTGATTGGATCATGAGGGCAGATTTCCCCCTTGCTCTTCTTGTGACAGTGAGTGAGTTCTCACAAGATCTGGTTGTTTGAAAGTGCATAGCACTTCCCCCTTCCCTCTCTCTCCCGCTGGCCACGTAAAGATGTGTTTGCTTCCCCTTCTCCTTCTACCATGATTGTAAGTTTCCTGAGGCCCCCCCACCGCCAACCATGCTTCCTATATAGCCTGTGGAACTGTGAGTCAATTAAATCTCTTTTCTTCATAAGTTACCTAGTATCGGGTAGTTCTTTATAGCAATGTGAGAACAGACTAATATACACAATATGAGGATACTTTCACAATTTTCAATATTAGATTATAGAAATTACATTTTTTGCAATAGTTACCAAAACAAACAAGTGAAATGTGTTCAGCAAAGTTTCTAGAAGGCTGATTGGTAATAACAATGATCAAAATAATAAGAAACAAACTTAGCCACACTGGGGCCAGAAGCAGTGGCTCATGCCTATAATCCCAGTACTTTGAGAGGCCAAGGCAGGCGGATCCCTTGAGGTCAGGAGTTCAAGACCAGCCTGGCCAACATGGTGAAACCTTGTCTCTACTAAAAATACAAAAATTAGCCAGGTGTGGTGGTGTGCTCCTGTAATCCCAGCTACTTAGGAGGCTGAGGCAGAATAATCACTTGAGCCTGGGAGGCAAAGTTTGCAGTGATCCAAGATTGTACCACCGCACTCCACCTGAGTGACAGCAAGACCCTGTCTCAAACAAATGAACAAACAATAACAAAAAGCTTAGCCACACTGGAAGACAAGAATACAAAGTAGACATTTATATATAAATTTAAAATAAACAGATGCACACACAAAACTGTTACTTATCTTCTAAGATGCTATCAGTTTAATCTTAAATTCAGACTAAACAAAGTATTTGCAGGTAAAACCATTCACCAAATATCTACCAGACAGCCTTTAATCTACTGCATAGAGTAGACTATGATCTAGGACAGGAATGTATTTTACCAGCGGCTAAATCAATAGATAATATAGCCAAATTTACCTCTTATATTGAAGATTTCTGTGTTAATCACCTTTATGCACAGATATACGTCGCCCTGGTTGTCACTGATACTCACTCTGGATTAGAAAGTGTTTAAGGACAGTAAGAACCCCAAGCCTTGGCTGTTAGGAGACTGCTAACAGAGCCCCGAAGCGCTGTCTTGTTAAGGAGCAGTTCAGTGTTACTGCCTTTGCTCTGCACTCATTACTCAGCCTTCCATTCAGTAACCAAACATACTATAACAAATACAAAAGCAAGATAATGCTTGCGAGTAATTAAACTAGGAACAGGAAGATGCCTCTTTAGTATAAGATGATTGTTTCATAAAACAACTCATTCCCAACAATCTGATTTTCCTATTTACAAAACAAATTTTGAGACGTAAGAATACTTGGTGGCACATCCCCTTTTCATGGCATTTTCCTAATTTTATTTATTTGAAATGAAAAAAATAATTTCAAAAGTAATAGTATTGATGGCTATTTTTCAAATTACCTACATATATATTTTAACCTGCACAATATCTTTATGGAATTAGTTATTTTTATTCCCCCTTTTAAATGAACACTTTCTTTCTCAGAAAAGTTAAACAACTTGTCATATCATTGGTAGACAACAAAACAGAAAGTTTTTCAGACGCTAACGTCCTGCTTTCTCTCCACCAGCTTTCTACTTCAGGGACCCTGGAGGTCTCATTCCCACCACAGCCAAACTCAAAGGTCACACACACAGACACACATATGCTGGTCTATATAACCCCCCTCACCTTTTCTCAAGGACCTATGGGACCCTAGTATCAAAATACTTAATTCGTTTTGCAGCATAGAAAGGGCTGGCTTAGGGAAATCTGCCCCATTCCTGTTTGCAATAGCCTTAGGAAAGTCTAATTGTCAGTGACCTTTAGGGAAGTTTCAACCTTCAAGGCAAAAGGCCTTGGCCCAGAACCCAACTTGCCAAGTGCACCCCCTGACACTCTCCTGACCCACAGCCATGAGTTTTACGAGCAGCCCACTCTTTTAATATCCTCCCTGGTCACCACCTGACACTCACACGCCCGGTGCAGAGAGACTGGTATGGGCCAGGCAGGAAGAAAGCGTGCAGAGGGATTAAAAAGTACCCTGCTCATGACTTGAAAGTTTGTAAAGAAAGTACTGAACACAGACTTCCCATAGTATCAAAAGGAAAATTTATGCATCGCCTTTGAGTTCAACTTCTCCATTAAAGCTTTTCCCCTATAATCTAGGGAGTTCTTATCTTGGTGACTTACGATGTTATGGAGGGGCTCATGCATGGAAAATGTCAATAGAAATAGTAACTCTGGAAGGGAAGGGCCTCCTAATTAGTCCCCATTTAGATTTTATGATGGCTTTGAGATCTGCTCATCCTGACAGTGCGCACTGTGGTTACATATTGTTCTAGCCTGAGGGAACCATAGGAAAATCCAGATTTATTGTACCTATCATACCAGCATATTTCATTTGCCATTATGAGCAGCCATCTCGCAATGATGCAGGAGTATTTATTACAGATTAAATTGTAGGACCTGGATGGTTTAGTGAGGTTCTTGAGGTATCATTTATGTCATTAACTGGCTCATTATCAGATCTGCAAATCTCCATTCTTTTCTGTGCCTTCTGTTTGAGCCGGGAGCCTTCCGGGCTGGAGCAGCTTCCGGGCTGTATTTTGTGGTGGCGTGGGCATGAAGTTTGAACACAGAAAAAGCAAATCGCTTGCATCACCCCCTGTGTTGTTGTTTTACCTGATTTCCTGGAAGGTCGTGGCAAATCCCTCTTACCGCTGTTTGCTGGGGGTCAGGGCAGGAAGGTTCCTGTCGGGCTGCTCAATTCTGACCAGGTGCTTGTGGGTATGGAGGAGTAGAGGGGGCGGGGGTGACTTTGGAGCTGCAGGATTCAGGGGATTTATTTTCAGAGGTGACTAACGCTAATTAGGTTAGAAGTGCCTGGCTGCCTTCTAAAGATGCAGCCTCCAGTTTTTCTTCTCTGATAAATAACCCTACGTTTGAAAACCAGGAAGGGAGAAGAGTGTGTGCAATTTAATTGTGGTTATTTAAGAAGTTAGCTGCTCTTCTGTGTTGATTATCTGCGGTGAGAGGGCTCAGTTTTCATGTCTTGGTGCCTCTGGGACTACGTTTTAATTCTACCTGGGAAGCTGAGTGAAGAGGACTCACTGATGGCCGATTATGATATATATATATATATATATTTAAACGTAGCAGAATATTCTTGCCTAAAACAGGCTGGTGAGCATTTTCAGGAAGGAATGCTGAGAGCACAGTGTTCATCCCCCTACCTCTCTGCTCTGGTTTAGTTCTTCTATTTGCATTTATTGTTTGATTCAAAGTGGATGGTGGAGTGGGGCGGGGGGGTTCTTTGTTGTTGGTATCTGCCCTATTTACCCTCCTATATTGCTTTTTCATAAAACCCAGGCAATGGCATTTAAGTTGCTGTGTTCTTTGGTATTAAAATACTCTCCATACAGGAACAAAAGTACCTATAGAAATTCTGAACTCAAATTCACAGATTATCTGAGAGAGAAATGCCTTGTGATTTAATTGTTGAGTATAATTAATTCACTGCATAGACAATCGTTGCTGGTAAAGGCGCATTTTCACAAAGAAAAATTATAGGTAGGAGCTATTTTGTATTTTTAAAAAGGGATTGATATTATATTATACAGCTGGATTTGAGACAACAGAATTGGCTTACCGTCAGTATTTGCACAGATTAATCCTTATAAAATAGTTTCATTCTTTAAATTGATGAAGCCACATAAAATAATTTTACTATTGTCTGAAACTCAGCAGAAGGTATACAAACTGTTTCACATCTGCAAGAATCAAAAAAGGAAACAAATTAAAATGCCCTGGTTGAACCAAAATGAGCATTAGTGAATGTATGGGAGGCATTTCAGACCACACACTGAATTTGACCAGGTTTAGCACATGAGAGGTCCCCAGTCTCCTGAACAGATACTGAGTAGCCACTTCTTTTAATCAGTTATATCAGAGGGAGCTGCAAAAGCTTCTCATTTATACTTGTGGCTTGCAAGTTAGAGTTAACGAAGCAATGTAGAAAGGTCAGAAGGAATCATTTTTACTTCTTGCCACTAAGCAGGATAATTTAGAAGCTTCGTAACGATGCTGTTGCCTCTATGTTGTTGTAGTGAGAATGGACTACCCAGCTCTAAAGAGAGCCTGTCATTTTTACTAAGCAAGATTCGATAACAAGGATTATATAATTTCTAATTTGCCCTTCCTGATATTCATTATCTCTCCCACATATTGTTTTGAGATGAGACATTTTAGGACAAATAGCATGCAGTCATTATTGTCACCCGTCTGCAATGTGCAAAGCAAAATTAGCTTGACTCCAGGAGTTTGGTTTTTGTTGTTGTTATTTTTTCCCCCTAAAGTTTAAAAGATTTTTAATTATTTCTAATTTGCCTCTAAAAGAAATTGTAAAATTATATAACTTTTTGTAAAGAAACATATTTAGGCCTCAATTCCTTATACCTACCTCTCCCATCTAAATCTTTAAATTAAGAAATGTCACTTGTAAGAAGAATTTTAAGGGGAACCTGCAAGATTTTTGTGGCCCATTTATTTTTGTTCTGTTACCTTTAATATTGCTTTTGTTATTTATTTTCAAGTCAACCCTTTAATAATGGCTGAGTATTGCAACTGGAATAAGAAGCTGATCAGAGAATTATGCTTAAAATAACATAAACATTCAGATTTAAGATGATTTTTCACTAAATGTTTAATGACATCGTCTTATATCAAAGCTAATTTTAAAGACTGTCTATTTTTAAACAAGTGCAGTATTTAAGGGAAACATCCATAAGCACAACTCCTTGTAATGTTGTTTATATAGTCCCTTGATAAGTGTGTTAAGCGGATAATTATATACATGTATGTATATATGCATGTATATGTGTGACACCGTACCTGCGTGGTTAGCCAATTAAGCAGAACTTAGCACTAAATGAGTCATCTCTTGTACTCACTGTATACTATAGGCACTCTTGAATAAATAAAATCTGTGCTGCTATATAAATAGCTTCCTTGAAATAAGAGATTCTTATTTGAGCTTTCTTTGTAATCCTCCCGTCACCAATCTTAGAGCTTGGTCTTAGAGCATTATAGTCTTAATATTGAGCTTGCTCATTAATCTCTGTCCTTTTTTAGGTTAGTCTAGGCTATTCTCGTAGCTGTAGTACTCACTGGGTTGCCGTAGGAACAAGAGATCCGAGTAAATATGCTTATGGAGAAGAAATGACTACTAATTAAATGTGAATCGCATTTATAAATTGCCTAGTTCTCACAAAATGCAGAACATAATGTGCTTTGATGTACTTCATTAGTAAAAAGCACCTATATTTTTAAAATATATACTAGCAGAGAAAACCAAATTTTAATGCAAAAATGATCTTTACGTGGTTTCATTTTTCTGCCGACTATAAATCCTGTAATTTAATGCAGATATCCTTTTACTGCATTTACATGGCAGAGGACGACATTTGGTTGGCCTGTGAAAGTGCTGGAAACCTTTACTATTCCCTCACCAAAATGTAATTCCTTTTTTATTGTTAGATGTATAGCTTTTCTATTACATTTTAGACAAAAAGAAACTGGCTTATAACGTCCACTCCAAATCTAGGTAGGTAATATTTTCACATCACACAGAGTGCTGTGGTCTTTCCTGCCTATTGCCTGTAAAATTGGGACTCTGGTGTGAAACTACAAAGCAAGCTTTCAGTCACGGGTAGCTTTAGTTTTGCTTTGTTTAATGCTGAAAAGCACCTCTCACCCTTACCAAGATGTTAAGTCCCCAACTTCATTAACATTCTGCATGTCACAGCAGATGACCTAATCAGGTTTCCCTTTATGATTCTGCAATTCAGGAGTACAATCATCTTCTTTAACATTTTGTCATTTCATTTGAGGAGCTGAGTGTTTGGGATTGACTTATTTCCAAACAATTGATAAAGAATTGGTCCACAGCACTGTGGCATAACATGATTATTGCAAGCCCTATCTGCAATTCCAGGACAGGCAAGCTGTTAAGTTAAATGGGCCGTGGGCATAGTTATGTTAACTTCTAGGTTAACTGAGAGAACTATCGCAGTTTGTTGTTTTCTAAAGAACTTTCTTCTCAGAAAGATTGCTCAAACAACTGGCTGGCAGAATATCAAAGAAAAATAAATGTTAGGGTCTTTTTAATGCCTTGGATGACATTATAGTTCCCTTTGTTTTAATAATATATATGTATATATATTCAACAAAAGAAAATGCTCTGCTCGCATCCCCTTTTTCCTCAAAATCAGAGCAAAGTGTCCCCTGTCACAATGAAAATCCTGGGTGACAGAGAGTTTGCTTTTCATTTGACTGCATAGAAATCAATCCTGTGGTTCATATAATCTGAGCATGAGCAATTGACTCTAGGGAAGGTGACTGTCTCACCCTTGCTATGTGGGTGTGATTTGGACTACTTTTTCTTTTTATTATCTTCTAGAAAAGCATTTGTTGCCAAGCTGTGTGCCAGGTTGAGGGTAGTAACTAAGATGTGTTTATTTTCTGTACTGATCTTATTCCCTGAAGTAACTAAACTCTAACTTTTCATATCTACTCTAGAGGAACAAAAGTGGAGTCAAATGATGCTTAACACTTAATAGGCATATCTGTGCTATTTCTAATGAATACTATTCTTGTATAGTGGGTTTTTGTGCAGGATCTGGATTTTATGCAAAAAAAAGTATTATGGGGTTAATAAGGTCTGATGAATAAGATTACTTTAAATTATGGACATTTTGTAGGCCTTCAGTAAATAAATGTTGAATTTAATAGAATAATAAATTTTTTTAATTATTAATTTGAGTAAAATTTGAATATCAGCTTTCTGAATTGAATTTTTCCTTAGAAGCAATATAGAAAAAGGCCTTCTAAATTAAAATTACATTATTTGAGTTTTACTGAATTGGCAAGATTGTCTGAAAGGAGATTTTGTTCCCTTACTAAATCATAATTGTTTTTGTTGTTTTAACTTGAAAGGAAGGGCACTGCAGACATGCACCAGTTGGATTCACAATATTGATTTCAAACTATATATTTAGGGAATATTATTTTATTCTGGTTTTCATGTTCAAAATCTTTGAAAATCTATTTGAGATTAAAATCAGATAATCTAAAAGATAATAATAGTATATATTATATTATAATAATATGATAGATAATTTTCATTGAGTATTTGCTATGTGCCAAGAACTATGCACAACACTTTATTTACATTATCCTTTTTAATTCTCAAAAAACTCTATGAGAGAGTAAAATTATTGCCTCATTTTTAGGTGAAGATGAAATTCAGAGAGATTAATTTGCTCAAGATGTAAGTGATAAAACCAGGATTCAAACCTTAGCCAAATTCCATAACCTCAATGCTTAACCCTTTTATCACACTTCTCATTTTCATCTTAGCTTTACTGCAATAGCCCATTCTTTGTAATATCATATATGCTTTATGTCCACTTTAGACTTTCATTTTTCTTTTCTTTTTTTTAACCTTTCCTATGGTGCTGATAAACTGTTTTCTTTAGCTATTCTCTCTATATAGTATGCATAAGTCTCTTTTTCTTTCACTGCTATCAATATAGACTGAAAAATTGTGGCACCCTCGCAAAGTATCATGTAATTACTTAATTACATGATACTTTTATACATTATAATCAATTTCCCATTTGCATGTCTTGAGTAAACTGGAAGCCATGGATTTTTAGTATCATTTTGCCATTCACCTAGGATTCACATCTTCTTTTAAAGATAACAAAGATACTTTATTTGACAGTAATTCAGGAGATAAAAATATTCATGTAAAGGTTATGTTCATCTCAAAAGATTGATTTTTATATTAAAAATAAAATAAAACATTGATTCTTAAACCTATATGAGGATTAAATTATTGATTTGGATTAAGAACCAACCTCAATAGTTCCATAATTTTATTGCTTCTGAGGTTCCATTTCTCACTTAGAAAATCAACTTAATCTCTTAGAAATGCCTTATGCAAGGTCCTTTCGCATTTACAGAAGTCAAAGCTTATGATACTTTGGGACTTGTAGTGACTCTTATCTCTAAGCACCACAAAGTACCATAAGTAGATTGTGCTGTTGCTCGCCCTCATTGCCTGATTATCCCAGCCACTCATAAGAAGAATAACATTTCAAGATTGGACCATAGCCAACTCAACTCTAGCCAACTGAAGACACTAAACCAGAGGAGTAATGTAGAGTACATTTATGTTCTAAAACAGCTTAGAGATTTTTTACTAAGTTTGATATCCTGTAATTTTAAAATTTCTTAAATATATATATTTATGTCAGTCAAGCAGGATACATTTACTGAGTATCTCTTCTCAGTGAAGATGGACTGATGGGAGAGAACCCAATGAAAGGACAAAGACCATCTAGCTACACCTCATTCCAGTCGTTGAACATTAAATAAGTCACATCCTCCCCAAGTGTCAATTTCTTCCATTGTTAAAGTAGATTTTAAGCCTACTCTGATTACTACACAACATTCTTATGAGGGTGATGTGAAACAACAGATGTGGCAGTTTTTGAAGAATCGTGAAACAATATATAATTAAATATATCTCATAAGCTAAGTTTTTTATCTTCCTGAAAAAGCTAGGCCCTGCTAGTCCTTTTTCCAATTCTCAAAGCACAGCCCTATTAATGAAGAACAAGTTTTCATTGAAAGGCAAAATTTTTATTTTGTTTAGGCATGACCACACCACTGAATTTTATACAGCTTCAGTTTTTTCATTTCTTGATCTATATGGCTTCAATAAACCACTTATGAATATTTAAGGACAGATGAACAAATTAACATCTTTAACAAACTGTAACAACTTGACATATTATCTGATTATGTGATTATTATTAGGTAATAATAATCAATAGAAAACATTTGTTGAGGCTGGGTGCAGTGGCTCACGCCTGTAATCCCAGCACTTTGGGAGGCCAAGGCGGGCAGATCACCTGAGGTCAGGAGTTCAAGACCAGTCTGGCCAACATGGTGAAACCACATCTCTATTAAAAATACAAAAATTAGTCAGGCATGAAGGTGAGCACCTGTAATCCCAGCTAATCAGGAGGCTGAAGCAGGAGAATCGCTTGAACCTAGGAGGTGGAGTTTGTAGTGAGCCAAGATAGTGCCATTGTACTCCAGCTTGGACGACAGACTGAGACTTCATCACAACAACAACAACAACAAAAATTGTTGAAGGCTGACTATTCTAGGCATTGTGTTTTGTAATGAATGTATATTGTTCAATCCTCATAACAACCCTGTGACTATTTCTTTTTAATAGATTTTAGATTTGAACTCATAGATGACTTAGCTTTTGTTCTTAACCATATTCATATTTCCTCAGTCTCAGGGAATTAGGTCAATTAATTTTTCAACAAACCATATCTTTCTTGCGTTTAGCAGTAAAATTTTTGAAGGCTATATACTTGCTGAAATTATGTTCAAATGCTTGAATCACTATGTTAGATATGAATGCTTGAATCAAATGCTTGAATCGCTGTTAGACATGACTTTTTGTTTGTTTGTTTGTTTTGTTTTGAGACGGAGTCTCACTCTGTCACCAGGCTGGAGTGCAGTGGCAGGATCTCGACTCACTGCAACCTCCGACTCCCTAATTTAAGCAATTCTCCTGCCTCAGCCTCCCAAGTAGCTAGGATTACAGGCACAGTTCACCACGTCCAGCTAATTTTTGTATTTTTTAGCAGAGACAAGGTTTCACTATGTTGGCCAGGATGGCCTCGATCTCCTGACCTCATGATCTGCCCGCCTTGGCCTCCCAAAGTGCTGGGATTACAGGCATGAGCCACCACGCCCAGCCAGATATGCCGTCTTTAAATATGTATCATCTTTTAAAAAGACTCACTAATTGTATTTTCACCTTAGTTTTGTGTCCAAACCATATTAAACAGTTTATTTATTAAATTAAGAGTAATTTTTCACTGGTTTCCAAAACAAAAACCACACACACAAAATAAAGATTCTGTTTCATTATTAAGTATATGTTAATTTTATGTTCTACTCTCTAAAAAATTATAAAAATGTTCTGAAATACATTGAATGCTGCCAATATCACTGAAAAATATTTTTAAAGACATGAGATGATATCTTTGGAAGGGAAAACAAATTACCCAAAGTTTTAGGTTTCAGTAAGTTGCTTCAAAATGTCAGAGAACAAAATTTATTGACTTTTCTTGGAATGCTTTCATTTCATAAACTGGGACACTGAGGCTCAGTGGGTAGATTGAATATCCCGGTTATTAGTTGAATCCCTTTCTCCCAAATAATAATGTTTGACCCCATTATGGTTCTTTCTACTTGTATCTTGTATTACTTACCAAGACTAGAGGTAGACAAGTGACAAGTAAACTGTGATTATATGTTACATTGAACTCCAATACTGTATATATAGTATTTCCCAAAATCGCTGGCAATTTCCCATAAAACTACACATGCATCATTCACATATTTCTTTTTTATAATATAACTCTTGTGCCTGACTATAAGCAACTAGATGTTTAACAAATTCAATAATCTGCTAATTCTAGAAATAACTCCTCCTATAACTTCTACCTCAACAAAGAAGCTTCCTAGTATATGACCTGTTTGGACAAACATTTAATGTAACAGTAAAATTTGAAAACAACAATATTTCATTTAAAAAAACTAACCAAATTATCTATCTATCTATCTATCTACAATGATTTGTGTCAAACCAGTAATTTGAATTTATAATCCCTGATGTTAAAAAAAAAATGCTTTCTTGAATGCAGTGTTTCCTGTTATCCTTGAGTGCCTTAAAATTTAACTGACTATATACATTTACTGAAAGACTATTGTGTCTTGGGTTCTGACTACACAAACCTGAATAAAACATTTTCACAACCTTCAACTAGTTTACAGTAAAATAAGAGGCAACCAGTAATAACACTGTGAAGGGGATAAGTGTGATAACCATGGCACAAAAGCAGAAAGGGGCCTCCTGCCTCATAGAATCAGAAGCATGGGGTGAGGTATGAGGCTAAATAGAGGAGAGGTGTGTCCCAGGTAAAGACACAAATAAGTAAAGGCAAGAACTTACGAAAATGGTTGGCGGGTCTGGGAAGGAGAAAAGTGCAGAGTTCACAGAGGCAAGAACGTGAGGTGGGGAAGGGCAGAATGAACTGAAGAAATTAAAGATAGAAATATTAGAGATAGATTGTGTGGAAACCCTCTTGTTAAGGAGTTTAGATTTTACCCTATAAGCAATGGGTCATCACGAAATGTTTCTGATTAGAGGAAAAACAGGATTGTGTCTTTGTTTCAGAAGGATAACAGCACCCACACAATATGAAGTATTTTATTTTTTAAGTAAAAGTATTTGTATAATTAAATTTATTTTTCAATCCCAAAATATTTTTCAAATAAGTAAGGGTGCTTCCCATATTTCTGAACCAAGTTTGATTTTAGATTTTAGGAACTCTTCAGCTCTCTTTCTGTCTGTCATCTTAAATCTTACCTCCAGAATGTCCTTACTTTTTCCCCTTAGGGTATTTTTAATGCAAATATGAAAATACACCTACCACCAAATGAAATTTCACTTGTTTACTTTCCCATCAGGGAAAGCTAGCTATCAGGCCAGGTAGAGTGAATGTTGGTTGCTGTTTCAGCATGCATTTCCCTTTTTTCTATCACCTGGAACCTTATTTCCAATGAGATATTTACGTGCTTCTAGGTAAGTTCACGCCTTCCTCAGATCAAGCATGGAGGCTTGTTTAAGACTAGATTAATCAGTGCATTTCATCCCCCTGGTTGAGTTACTGCTTTAGAAGTGAGCATGGGTCCTAAGTTGGTTCGATCACACTAGGTTTCAGAATTTTACTAAAAATATTGAGACAAAAGCATTGTATTTTTTCTTTGCTGAAGTAAATCAAGAAAGCACCTAGAGCTGAAAGCTGCTGTCAGCCAATGTGATGTCAAGAGGGGAGCTGGCTGAGGTTGGAGGCCTGTAGAGAGGAGGAAATGAATGGAAAGAAAGAAATCAAGTCCTGTTCAAAAACCTGGAGCCATTGGGTCCAGAATCACTGAAAGCCAGGCTATCTCTGTATTTTTAAGTCACTGAAGACAGTAAAAATTTTCTTATTGTGAAATTACACTGATTAGGCTTTCCGTATTTACAACTAAAAATACTGTTAACTGCTAGCTATCAGTGCTCCTTGGATTGCAATAACGGTGTGCCATTTCCTTCTAGGTATTTTCTTAAACTTTCCTTCTTCACATTTCAGGATAAGATGTTTTCTATATTTAAGAACAACTCATACTAAAGTATTTTAATCATTTTTCATATTTCTCTATGATTAATAAGTCTTGAAATTATACTAAAATAATTGTATGATTTAAATTTCATATCAGATTTATTTAAGTTCATCCAAATAAAATTAAGTTATACATTTGAATGAGGAACAAGAAAATTTGACAATAAGTATGTTGATAGACATGTGCAACGGTTATATTTTTATAATTTCTTTTATAGTTTTTAGAATAAGCCAAAATACATAGTTGATTTCAAAGCAATTGATTTTCAATGATCTTTAAAGAACTTCATATAAGTTCCTGATAACTTTAGAAAGTCCTTTCCAAAATAGTCCTTGGGAGAAGACTCAGAATAGTCAGGCAAACATTTTGAGAATCTCAAAGTAGCACAAACAAGGGAATCAGGGAGGTGTAAGTAGATGATATTGTAAGTTTAAATAAAATTTCAATATATATGTAGAAGACAAGTACCAAGAAGGCATTTTTCCTTTCTTTCCCTAACCGAATGGGAAATGACAATCCTAGATGTCATTAGACAGATTTTCTATTTATTAGTTACATTGTAATTCTCTGTAGTAAATAGAACCCTCAAAGAATGGTAAGGAGAACTGCTGTCCGTTTGTAATTGTCTTAGTGTAACAGACTATTATTGAAATTCAACGAACCTTGTGGTTTTATCTCTATAAACTTGCTACTCAAAGATTGGTCTGAATGTGGCCTTAGATGTGCATATAAAATGGGACTCATGTTAAAATGCAGATCCTGGTTCGGTTCACCAGGGGTAAGTCCTGAAGACTCTATTTCTAACAATTTCCAGCTGAAGCTGATTCTACCCACCACAGCTTGAGAAGCAAATATATGCCAATCCTTTTAAAATGCAGGATTTAAAAGTGTTAATGTACATATTATCTTCAAAATTCTGTTTTTATGCCACGTGGAATTTTAGGCTGGATGGTATCTGAGAATTTCATAATAACTGCTTCATTATATATATGAGAAAACTAAGGTCTTTGGAAAGAGGGCTTTGGCTGGTCTCCTCATCCCCCGACCAGGGAGGAAGAGCTGTTAATCTGGTTGTTCAGAGCCCAGGACATTAACTGGGCGACTTGTTACGTGAGCGTTAATGTGCCTTAAAGGTCAGTGTCTGTACAGTATCCTCTCTCTTCTTCCTGCCATGAACACTCACTCTCCCACTTTCTCCATTTGTGCAGTCAAGTGGGCGAGTTAGGCAAAGCCTGTTCTGCAGAGCCGCTTGCTGTCTTCTTCTGGCAGGAAAGTCCTGTGCTTTGTGTGGAAGAGAGGTAAAACTCTTTCTCAGCTCCAGGCTTTAGGAATCAGCGTTATATTCCAGTTTATCACAGGGACAGAGATTCTTGTGAATGTGGCAATGCCTCACCAAACACGCAGTCTGCTGTAGACAGATAATGTTCCTTGACGTATGAAATGAAACTAAGTTTAATGGGAACTCTCATTATAAATCTTCTGAAAGCATGTATTCTGTGTGCTAGCAAAATGATCTAGAATATAGTAGATCCCCAATAAAAATATTTACCAAGTGAGTGATTGCTTCACTTTTATTACATTTAGATACTGTTGTATGTAATGCATTTGTTATACAAATTTTTTTCCCACAGTTGGTAAGTTTTTGAAACTGCTGCAAAAATGACTTTATTTTCTTTGAGATACATCTAAAATTCTTACCAAACCATTGTTTTTGCTTGTAGTCACTAACCTTTGCTTCTCTTCCTCACAGAAACATGTTTTTGCTTATTTATGAAAAATCATTATAAAAATAGAACATGAAGTCTCACAAATTTCACTACCCAACGCTAGAATTTCTTTTTCCATAAAGATGCCCTTGAGACCTAGTAGGCAGACCCTTCGTCCCCAGAGCCCCCTTGGGATGTTTCCTAGTACACGCCTCCCCTTGCAACATGGCTCAAGTAAGAAGTGGATCCAAAGGTGCAGCTCAAGCTGCCCTGTGATCGAAGAACTTCCTAACGTGGTATGAATCTATGGTACTTCCCAAGTATATGACAACTTCTCTTGGGGCCTTTTCATTTCCTCACATTATCATTAAATTATGCAGAATAGCAACCTTTGAAAAAATGAGACTGCATTTCAAATTATTAATAGAAAACCATGAACCTTCAGATTCTCTTTGTATCATTGTCCTATAGGAAGGACTCTTCATTTTCTTTTTTGTGCAGGTGAAAATTTACTCAGGTTCACATCAGCTAGTCATTCTGATCGCTGTGTTGCAGATGGAAAGTGTACTGAACAAACTTGTTATTGCTTTTGTTCTAATATGACATCAGATAAAACTGAAGCTTCTATTCTAGTTCGGAATTCCAAAGGGTATCCATAAAAACAAGGATCTGTGATTAATTTTCAATCCTTACTTGACACATCTGTAGTATTTGATACGATTGTTTACTCCTTCATTCTGAAAGTATTTGATTCACTTAACTTCTAAAACACATCCTCTTGATCTTTTTCCCACCTCATTGGTCACTACTTTTCAATTTCTTCTGTTATTTTTTTCCTCATTTTCTATCCAGCTTCTATGCATTGAAAACCCTCAAAGCTCAGCCCTCAAACCTCCCTCTTCTTAATCTCCACTCATGTCAAGGGTGAAACTCATCCAATCTGCTGGTTTTAATTGCAATTGTGTACTCACTACTTCCAAATATGTGTTACTAATTCCCACCTGTCTTTCTTAAATTCCAAGTTCATAGATTTAGCCACCTACTCAACATCTTAAAATATCTTAAATTTGAATATATTCAAATCCTCTTCACCTCTCACTCCAATCCTACTTCTCTAGCAATCTCAGCTCATGTCGGAAAATAGTGACTCCATTCAAGTTACTCAGGGTCCAAGACTTGGAGTAATCTTTGCCTTCTTTCTTTCTCTTGAAACCCACATGCAATTCATCAGCCCATGTTTACAGCTCCACCTTTCAAGTAGATCATTAGCCAACCACATCTTTCTCCTTTTATGACTATCATCAAACCACCACTGCCTCTGCCTTGGATTTTATAGCCTCCTAGAAGATGACCCTACTTTTGCTCTTGTCTCCTTGTCACTTTGCTCACAACCTCCAACAGCATCTCCAAGTAAACCAAAAATACAAAAACAAAGAAACAATGCAAAAAATTCATCTTTCACTAGTCTAAAAGGCCCCATGAAATCCTCTCTGACCTCTTAGACCACAGTTTCTTTTACTTCACTTCTTCCTTATCATACTGCCAGCACCCTGACTTCTTCCTTTTCCTTAAACATGCCAGGCCCATGCTTGGACTTCTCTGCCTTCCCATAAAGCCTACTCCCTCACCTGCCTTATGTGTTTGGTTGTAAGTTACCATCTTAATGAGACCTTTCCTGATATTCCTATTTAAAATTGAAATGCTTCTTCTAGGCCATTCCGTAACCTGACTTCCGCCATATTTTTCTCCATAGCATTAATAAGCATTATAATTATTTCATATGTATTGGTTTATGGTCTGTTCCCTACCAACTATAATATAGGCTCTGTGACAGTAGGGGCATTTCTGTTTTATTCAATGGTATGTGTTTCCTGTGTTAGATAATAAAGGTATTTAGTGAATAAATGAATGAGTAAAACTATACATAACTAACAAAATGAATAATAATAATGCATAAACATTATATATCATTATAATGCATATATATTAATTTAAAGGGATCTTCTTTCTACCTGCCCCTTTCACTTACACTCAGTGTCACAGATTCTGCAAACAGGCACTAAAATTTGAGCAACAGTTAATATGCCTGAACTTTTTGACAGACATCATAGCTTTGCATTTTCAAAGTTCTGCTCACCCTCTAGAAAGGAAAACTTTGCCTTGATGTTACACTTAAAAATTATTTTAAAAGTTGTTTCTTCCTTTCATTTGTTCATTCTTTTTTATTTCTTTTCCTACTTTCTGTCTCTCTTTGGTTTTATTTATTAGCTTATTTGTTTATTTTGCATATAGTCATGCAGTCTCATCAGTTATGGCCTTTATCTTCTTCAGGCATTACCTACATTAATTTGGTCCCATGTAGTTGCATCATTGGAGGATCTCAGCTCATACACAGCCATCCTACAACTTACCTGTCCCTATATCATCTCCCAAAGTACAGTGTTTAGGCATATAACATGAGTTTGCAAATGAGTAGCTATTTCTTCACCAAGGTTATAATTGTTTCATGTCATTTGGATTTTCAAATAAGAATTCATTGTCCTAATAATAAGTATTTTATTTGTTCCACATTTTATTATTCACTATCTTAGACTAAAAGAATGAAACACAGCAAAAGGCCTTCTTTTAACTTGTGTTTGACCCATCTAGCTGTTAAGAGTTCATTATTTTATTTTAATTGCCTAATTAAGGTAAAATAAAAATATTTTCATGTAAAAATCTCATTAAATGCACCAAATGCCTCAGTATGTCTGTGCCCATTCTGGAGAGGAATGTAAATTGTGTTGACTACCAAAAGCACTGGGGGTAGATATACCAATATTGCTTGGTACTGAACTGGCAGTTTCGAAAATCCTTACTAGAAAGTGTTGCGGGTCACTGTAAAACAGGCAAGGGTTGATTTGATATTTGATTAAATAATCATACATATGTTTATGCAAAAAGTAGCTATGGGCTCACCCCACTCTACATTGCTTAAGTGTACAATTAAGAATGTACATTTAAAAGAATGAAAATAGTGACAATAAGCTGGGGTGCCCCCTGTAATATCTTACAATATTCTGACCCACCTCTTTATTGGGGCATAGATCTAATATTTACATTTTTATCATTTATGTAAGACTTATTCACTGTAATTCACTGGACAATAACTTAGAAATATGTCTTCAAAATTGTTCTCTCTGAAAGTAGATGATGAAAGAAAAGAATGGCATTTGTAGGACCAATTAATTGTCGGATCAAATTATTTATAAAAATTGTATAATATAAATTCAATAGCAAATAATTAGAATAAGTAATTTTTTTTCTTGTGATGAGGGGAAAACATACCTTTCTAACTCTCGTCCAAGGTCATTAGTGAAACAGGATCAGTATGTGTAATTACAATATCATGAATACTTAAATTTCTCCCATGCTGAGAAAGGCATGATAAGATTACAGCTAGCACACTGATTTTGCTACATGACCTTTCAACTGGAAAACTCCAACAATCCTGCCTTAGAATGATCTGTTACGTTCTATTCTACCTAACAAAAAGAAAAATCAGGGAAAAGTCTGAGATCTAAGAATTTATAGTTTGCTCAAAAATAGTCACAAGGATATGTGAAGCTTGTAGGTAAGATATTCATGATCCAGTAGTCAAAAGCGATTGTTTCTGGTATGGACTCAATGTGCTCTCCCTGTTTTGCATTTTTCTAGATTATGTACCTTTAAGTTTTCCCAAATGTAGGCATAATTTTAAAAAAGAAAATGTGGACATATTAATGAAACATTGTGTGTTGCAGTGGGCATAATAATTTCAGGGAAATTCAATTCCCTTCAGTTCAGAAGATTGTATAAGTTAAGTTCTGCAGGATTATATAGAATAAAACTTCGTAAATTTGTGTATAATACAACATTTTTTATTCACAACTCTTTGCCTCACATGAATGCATTTTCCCAAATTGTGTGCCCATTAAAATACAAGAAAAGAATTACAAGTTTATACTGATCATCTTTGCATATGCCATCTTGTTATTTAACTGTATCATCGCACAATAAAAACTCTATTATATAATGTCTTTTTAATTTATCTCATTATATGTCCCACCATGGCAACTAACTTAAAGAGTATAGTAGGTACAAAGATGAGAAAGGCTTATGTCCCTTGTGAGCACTTCTTCCTACCTGTCATGTCATCTGGCATACACCTCAGCTTGCTTCTATTCTTGCTGTAAAGTCCTTCTGTGGGTAAGAATGACCAAAAAAATTTATATTTAAAAATGGCATCAACCACTGAGAATAGGCAGAGCCCCAGCATTGCCTTAGTTTGCTGGAGGCCTTATGCTGGGCAGATGTTAACTTTCTAATTGTCTTTTTGCTGCAGTAGTCACAGGTTCTCTCTAGAGGTGCCAGGATGGTTCAGGGAGAGGTTACGTTGGAGAGCTTGGGACAGCTATATTTACCACTCCATAGAGAAGTAATCTAATACTTTAATAATCTGTGTGGTGAAGCCAGTGTGTACTGTCAGCTGACCAGTGACAATATTATCCATCCCGATTACTTCAGTTAATACATTACACACAGCATTACACAGGTAACCAACAAATCCACAACACTAGTCTTTTTTTTTTTTTTTTTTTTTTTGAGACGGAGTTTCGCTCTTATTGCCCAGGCTGGAGTGCAATGGTGTGATCTTGGCTCACCGAACCTCTGCCTCCCAGGTTCAAGCAATTCTCCTGCCTCAGCCTCCCGAGTAGCTGGGATTACAGGCATGTGCCACCACACCTGGCTAATTGTGTATTTTTAGTGGAGATGGGGTTTTTCCGTGTTGGTCAGGTTGGTCTCGAACTCCCAACCTCAGGTGATCTGCCCATTTTGGCCTCCCAAAGTGCTGGGATTACAGGCGTGAGCCACTGCGCCCAGCACACAACACTAGTCTTTAACTCACTTCCAATTGCAGACCTGTATTTCTAACAATATGTTATATATAGAAAAAAAATGATACTTTGTCAATGCCTCACAATCAACAAATAAAAAATTCAGTGGACTCTCTTCCCCTATAAACATAATCTTTCCATTGTCATATTTTTCCTTGTAAGGGCATTGCCTCCCATTTTGGCTCCCAGCCTAGAAACTTGAGACCATCTCTGACTTTACCTTCTTCCTTATCCTCAACGTCCTAATCGTCATCCTGTCTTGTCAGTTCTGCATCACAGATACCTCTGCTCTTCATCATCTTCTTTATTCCCACCATCATGGCTAGGTCAGCCACTCTCATACCTCTTGTTTAATTTATTGTAATAGTGCCAACTTCTCTTTCGACTGCCAGATTTCCACATCTCTTATTAATTGTTAAATGAAGATATAACTAGGATGACTTCTGTGCCTAACAAATTTGAAGACTCTGCCTTGATCAAAAACTCAGTTCAAATTTCTCTACCTCAAATTTACCAATTGACCTTTCCAGATTCATTTTGTACCCATACTCACACATTCTTATCATCCTTTTGTCAATTCTTACTCCCTAAACTAAATTAAGATCTTTCCACCTTTATACCTTTGCTCATGCAATTCCCTCTTCCTGGAAATTCCCCTTCCCTTCTCCCTTCTTATTCCATCAGGCTCACCTCCCCCAGGAAGGCTTTCCCAATGCTTTCAGACAAAAATCAGTCATTTCCTAATATGCGTCCTACATGTGTCTTTGTACCCTATCTTTGCCAGTAATCAGATTATGCCTTCTCTTATTTTGGCTCATAGATCACACACTTCTTGATATTTGGAACTATATCTGATGCCCAATAGTATTTAACACAGTACATTGAATAGAATATGTGCTTAATAAATACATGTGAAGTTAACTTGCAGTCCATCCATTAAGACATGATGATTCATGGATCAATTCCAACTAGGAGTACTGTATCGCCTCTTATCTGGGTCCTAGCATCTCACCAGTGAGTCAGAGCATCAGCTACTAGTTAAATACAAACTCCCCAAATCCACTGAGAACAAATATGATTTAAGTATTGCCAAATATCTCACAATAACAAATATACTACATAAAAGTGCTTTGTTTAATGGGTAAAACCTCAAAGAAATTTGTAGTCTATGTGATTAGACAAAAAAATATATTCTGTCTTGTCTGCGGATATCCCATTTATAATTCTTTTGGCCTATACCACTTCCCTTAAAAGTTGAACTGAAATCCTGCATAGTTAAGGTTTGGCATCATAGTATGAAAGATTTACCAACGAAATTGAGTTGTTTCTGTAAAGTATAGCAGCAATACAGGAAGCACTTTGAATACAATTCAAGATACATTTATTGTGCAGATACACTGGTGCTAACACTGTGGAGGATCAAAAAAGTTGGGATACATGATGTTTGCCACAAAGGATCCTATGATCATGTGGACAAGTACTATTCAAGGCCAGAACACATGAGAGACTCCCTTCTGAAAAATATTCCGAGAGATATCATTTAGATGGAGGTTGACATGGAAAATCTTGCAGGGAGTAAATTTAGTTTTTCCTATTTGATGAAGGATTATTTCTTAATGTAATATTCAAACATTTCTTGAAAGCTCACTATATATATGATGTACAAGGTAGTATTCTTGGTGCTGTGACCAAAGCTTAACAAGATAGAGTCATTGTCCATAAGGAACTTAACATGTCTCTAAATACTTTTAAATTTTATTTCATAAAAATTAATTTAACAATTACATATCTGTTGTGGTAGATGGCATAGTGAATATGACTCACAGAGTGCCATGTGTGAACTTGAGGTTTGATCTAATAGGGGCTCAATGTCTAATAGGGACTCAATGTCCAATATGTAAATTATGCATCATATGCTGTTCATAATAACAGAATCCAAAATATCCAAAATTTTATACATTTTACATAAAGGCAACTTAACACAATACCACCTCCCTTCCTGTTTATTTAATGTGAGACTTATACTTGAGTCCCCTAAACTATTTTTACCATCAATAATGTAACATGCATCTTAAAAATGTTTTTTCTGTATCAAGAAATGTATTTATTTTATTTTCTGGCAACTATTATCAACAGTTAATGAAATAAAAAACTATCATAATACCATACATCATTACCATGTTTGGCTTATGTAAAGATCAATGGTAGTCGATTAAATTTCCTTCAAAATTTCCAATCCAGATGACTCATATGTATTTGAAGCACATGGTAAATATTTCACTATAAAATAAAGAGTAATATCAAATGTATTTCTTTAATTAAATTCCTTGCTGTATGTTTTATTCACATGTGTATACAATGCAATTTGTATAGAATGCTAAGTAAAAAGTAGCAGTTAATTTGGGGGGCTACTGCTGTAAAAGTATGTTATCTTTTATATATATCACAGCATTACTTATTATCAGCTTCACACACAGCACTTTGCCTTTGATTTACACAAACACCTGTAAATGTTTTATATATTTGTGAGGAAGTGAATGATATTAGACCATCACTCCACGGGGACTGCAAATCAGGGGGAAAAAAAAGGCTATTACATTTCAGAAGCTGTTAAATCAGTTGTGCCCCCTGGCTGATTTTGTCAGCTATATTTGCTGTGGGTAAAACCGTTGATGCCTGGAATACTGGAGCGGCCCTGAGAGTGTTGAAGAGTAAATAGCAGCAGAGTTGTAAACTACACCCCACATCTCACACTTACCGCATAAGCCCAGCTTACACTTTCCTCTGAATAAATCCAGAGCTTAAAAAAGAGCAAGAGAGAGAAATAAAGAAAAGGGGAGGGCAAAACAAGGCAAAACTCGGCCCATGCCTTCTGTCACTGCCTCTAGGTTTAGCCCCTCAGCAGCCTGCCAACAGGACACTGTTCTGCCAGTTGTAAATTTTAATTGGCCATCTGGGGAAAGCACAAACCACTGACTAGAGATTAATCAGCAAATTAACCCAGGCATAATACACATTTCCCAGTGGACCCAAAGCAGCTCTAGGCTGGAGCAGAGCAGCCTGGGATGCTGGAGAACTTGTGTATAATGCTGTTATTGCTTACTGCCATGCAGTAGAACATCTTCTTGGAGTCCTGAAATTCCCGTCTGTGTGACCTTGTTAGTGCCCCTGATTTGTACGGCAGTTGCAAAGAGCCTTTTTTTCTTCTTCTTCTTTTTTTTTTTTGTAAAGTACTAAACACAGATGGTGCAGGTACTGTGATTGCTGGGAAAAGTGTTGATGAATCAGTGAAAGTGACAACTTTTCTCTAGTGGGCTATTCACTTGGTTTGCTAAAGTACCTATAGAAAGAAACAATAGTGTACCTGGATTTTTACCAGCTCAATGAATCACCAGAGAATCACATTTATTTAGCCAATTTCTTGTACTACAGGAAATGCCTTTGCACAGTCTCGTACTGGAAAAGCAAATTTGTGTATAATAAAGTTAAATCCTTCTTCAAGTCTAACTTACAGGGAATAATTTAAGCCAAATGTACATTTATATAGAATACTATGGCTTCAACTTGTTCAATAACACAGTCTTCTAATCAGCCCAGGGGCATTCTGTAAGCTGAGATAGGGAAAGAGGATAAAGACTAAAGGAAGAACATTTTAAGGTGATAAATACCCAAAAGGTAAAGTGAAGGGCTGGTAAGAAATTGCGAGTGGTTTTGATACAGGATGGAGTGAAAACACTTTGTGAAAGAATAGGCTTTACACAGCTTTTGGAATAATAAAAATGGTAGGGCTTCATGCATTACTATAAGCAGGGGTCTTTAGGATATGGAATATTATGAGATTCAGAAGTGGGAGTATACAGCCTAAATAAAGTACACACTGAATAAATTTGCTTGAGGGAAACTAAGGATGAAGCGGCCAGGCCAAATCAGTGAAGAACAGAGATTTTCCATCTTGTGGACAGTTGTATTTCCAGAAGGTGGCATGGAGAACTCAGCATAGTAGCATATAGCAGGCACTCAACACTTTTTAATAAAAGAAGGCATAGCCAACTTTAATAAAATTAGAAGCTAATATTATATTAGACATGCCTACTACTTGTTGCCTTTCCTGTCCATAGTCCATGCTGAATGCATGGTAGACCACATGACAAGTGACCTGACACATCACATTTGAGGCACCAATTTATAGGCTGACAAGGGACCTATGATATTATCTGGTGCAAAAACATATTTTTTTATTTTTCCATGAGTTATTAGGGTACAGATATTTGGTTACATGAGTAAGTTCTTTAGTGGTGATTTGTGAGATCCTGGTGCACCCATCACCTAAGCAGTATACACTGCACCATATTTGTAGTCCTTTATCCCTCACCCCCCTCCTACTCTTCCTCCCAAGTCCCCAAAGTCCATTGTATCATTCTTATACCTTTGTGTCCTCATAGCTTAGCTTCCACATATCAGTGAGAACAGATGATGTTTGGTTTTCCATTCCTGAGTTACTTCACTTAAAATAATAGTCTCTAATCTCATCCAGGTCACTGCAAATGCTGTTAATTCATTCTTTTTATGGCTGAGTAGTATTCCATCATATATATATATATATAGATATATAGATATCACAGTTTCTTTATCCACTTGTTGATTGATGTGCATTTGGGTTGGTTCCATGATTTTGTAGTTGTGAATTGTGCTGCTATAAACATGCTTGTGCAAGTATCTTTTCTGAGTAATGACTTCTTTTCTTCTGGGTAGATACCCAGTAGTGGGATTGCTGGATCAAATGGTAGTTCTATTAGTTCTTCAAGGAATCTCCTTACTGATTTCTATAATGGCTGTACTAGTTTACATTCCCACCAGCAGTGTAGAAGTGTTCCTTGATCACTGCATCCACACCAACATCTGTTTTTTTATTTTTTGATTATGGCCATTCTTATAGGAGTAAGGTGGTATCACATTGGGTTTTTGCTTTGCATTTCCCTAATCATTAGTGATTTTAAGCGTTTTTTCGTATGTTTGTTGGACATGTATATATCTTCTTTTGAGAATTTTCTATTCATGTTCTTAGCCCACTTTTTGATGGGATTGTTTATTTTTTTCTTACTGATTTGTTTGAGTTTGTTGTAGATTCTGGACATTAGTCCTTTGTCAGATGTATACATTGTAAAGATTTTCTCCCACTCTGTGGGTTGTCTGTTTACCCGGCTGACTGTTCCTTTTGCTGTGCAGAAGCTCTTTCATTTAATTAGGTCCCAGGTATTTATCTTTGTTTTTATTGTGTTTGCTTTTGGGTTCTTGGTCATGAAATTCTTGCCTAAGCCAACGTCTAGAAGAGTTTTTCTGATGTTATCTTCTAGAATTTTTATAGTTTCAGGTCTTAGGTTTAAGTCCTTAATCCATCTTGAGTTGATTTTTGTGTAAGGTGAAAGATAAGGATCCAGTTTCATTCTCCTACATGTGGCTAGCCAATTATCCCAGCACCATTTGTTGAAAAGGGTGTCATTCCCCTACTTTATGTTTTCATTTGCTTTGTCCAAGATCGGTTGGTTGTAACTACTGGGTTTATTTCTGGTTCTCTATTCTGTTCCATCAGTTTATGTGTCTATTTTTATACCAGCACCATGCTGTTTTGGTGACTGTGGCCTTATAGTATAGTTTGAAATCCGTTAACATGATGCCTCCAGATTTGTTCTTTTTGCTTAGTCTTGCTTTGGCTATGTGGTTCCATATGAATTTTAGAATTGCTTTATCTAATTCTGTAAATAATGATGATGGTATTTTGATAGAGATTGCATTGAATTTGTAGATTGCTTCTGGCAGTATGGTTATTTTCCCAATATTGATTCTACCCATCCAAGATCATGGGATGTGTTTCCATTTGTTTGTGTCGTCTATGATTTCTTTTAGCAGTGTTTTGTAGTTTTCCTTGTAGAGGACTTCCAACTCCTAGGTTAGGTATATTCCTAAGTATTTTACTTTTTTTTGCAGCTATTGTAACAAGGGTTGAGTTCTTGATTTGATTCTCCATTTGGTTGGTGTTGGCGTACAGAAGAGCTACTGATTTGTGTACATTAATCTTGTATCTGGAAACTTTGCTGAATTCTTTTATCAATTTTAGGAGCTTTCTGGAGGAGTCTTTAGGGTTTTCAGAGTAAATGATCATATCATCAGCAAACAGTGACAGCTTGACTTCCTCTTTACCAATTTGGATGCCCTTTATTTCTTTTTCTTTTTCTTTCTTTTTTTTTTTTTTTCAAGACAGAGTTTTGCTCTTGTTACCCAGGCTGGTATGCAATGGCGCTATCTCGGCTCACTGCAACCTCTGCCTACTGGATTCAAGCAACTCTCCTGCCTTAGCCTCCTGAGTAGCTGGGATTATAGGCATGCGCCACCATGCCCAGCTAATTTTTGTATTTTTAGCAGGGATGGAGTTTCACTATGTTGGTCAGGCTGGTCTCGAACTCCCGACCTCAAGTGATCCGCTGACCTCGGCTTTCCAAATTTCTGACAGGCATGAGCCACCGCACCTGGCCTATTGGATGCCCTTTATTTCTCTCTCTTGTCTGATTTGTGCAAAAACTTTGATCAAAACTTAGATGAATTCAGTCAGGTATGATGTTTCATGCCTGCAATCCCAGCACTTTGGGAGGCCGAGGCCAGCAGATCACCTGAGGTCAGGAGCTCAAGACCAGCCTGGCCAACATAACAAAACCCCATCTCTACTAAAAATACAAAAATTAGCCGGGCGTGGTGGTGCGCATCTGTAATCCCAGCTACTCAGGAGGCTGAGGCAGGAGAATTGCTTGATCCCAGGTGGCAGAGTTTGCAGTGAGCCAAGACCATGCCACTGCACTCCAGCCTGGGTGACAGAGCTAGGCTCCATCTCAAAAAAAAACAAAAAACAAAAAACAAGCAAAAAAAAAAACTTAGATGAATTGATCCAAATGGATTCTATTCTTCTATTCTTGGGAAATTTGAAAAAGGAAGCTTGAGAAACTCAGTTCCTTAGCAGTGAAACTTGTGACATAAAAGCTATGATAAAGAAAAGGACAAAGTAGAAAATGCAGTGATTTGAGATTCTGGGCCAGCAGAGGAAGCCAGTGTGTTGAAAGAGAAGAATGGAGTTGATTTGCTGGAAGGAGCAGCAAAGAGGAAGGCTGGCATCCCTAGAGATAGGAAGTGGACTCTCTATCCCAGTTCTACCTTATCTGAAGCCTACCTCTATCTCTTTCCCTGGTCTCTGATTTTATGAGAGTTGAGCAAGCTTACATGACATTCTGATTGTTGCACCAAAAGAACTTTGACCAGAGCAACCATGTAATAGCACCATCATAAACTAATGGCTTCAAAAGACAAATAAAATTAGTAACCTTCCCCCTACTTCCTACTACTAAACAGTGCACAGGATTTAGGAACTCTAAAGAATGTGGTCATTTTCAGAAATAAAAGTAATGGTGGATTTTTTCATACGGCTATGCTCTGACCTACCACTAAATCACGCAGACCCATTTCACCTGCCTCTGGCAAAATAGACTCTCTTCTTTCACAACCAGGTATGGATTTTTTTTCTGTTTTATTACATTATTGCAAGCAATGCTGCCTGCCAAACCACATGCCCTTAAACTGAAATGGCTTCTAGGCAAACACTGGATTATCTGTGACAGTAAATCAGTCAATATGCTTGGCCTAGGTACCACAGCAGTTAAATAGACATCTTTGGCTTCAGGAGGGGAAACCTTCCTTCAGATACCCAATTCAGCTTCTAATAAGGCCTTTTGAAAAGCTTTTTATTTAAATAGTATTTTAAATCACTGAGAAGTTTATTGTGAGATTTGATATGAGATATAAAGGCCTGGAAAGATAATAGACAACAGTTCTGAATTAAACACTGAATGCATAACAAGTAAAAGCAAAATATTTAAAGTTATTTTAACATTTAAATTATTCCACAAGAAAAAATTTTTGAGAGTCATGAAATGTCTGGCCACTGCTCACCATATATGAATTGAATGCTCTAGCTGTGTGTACTGCAAGCAGGAAATAATGCCTAACACAACAGTGTATCGGAGAGTAGACTCAGTGTTTTCGGTGCGCACTGGTGGATGGATTTCTTTATCTCCTCTGGGAGGGATAAGATCCAAAGGTTAGAACAGGCTCAAATAAATTCAGTTCAGTATGTGTGGTCTCTTCTGAATTATTTCAAAGCCTTACTGTCTAGCTTCAACCCTGTTCCCCTACTTCATGTTATCTCAATTATATATCTTTGAAAAATTGGAGAAAATAGTATTCATTTATTTGTAAAGACATTAGAGATTCTGGACATTAGAGGATGACTGAAGCACAAAAGTACAGAAGAATGTAAAGATAATCATTTCTATAGATCACCTATTGTTATGTTTGTCTTGTCACACATAGCTTTCCATATCTTCACATGTACCACATATTTTCAAGAAATAAAGAAGATATATACGTTGATATTTTTGTTTATATATTCCACCCCAAATATCTTAAACATAACTTGCTATCTTATATTTATATTATCTTTATATCTAAAAATAAAAGAGCTCCTCAGGGATGATTTTATACAGTGTGGCTAAAATGTAGAAATGGAGTCAAGGACGCTGAAACACTTGGTAATTAGGTAAATAATCACAGATTATTCACAGCGGTGCCTATTATACAGTAAAAAATAAGAAGTAAATTTATGTATTAGATTTGCTAAAATGTGACCAACAAGACTCTTGCCAGGTGTCCTAATGAAAGTGGTACTGTCTTTAAACCCTGCATGGCAATCCCTGATATGCCTCCATGATATCCAAGGAAGACAGGACAACCTGGAAGTCCAAACTCTTCCTTAAGAGCATCCAACTTTTAGATGATTAACCAAAATGCCTCATTGTGGAAGTGACATTGTGGGTTCCAAATAGATACAGATCCACATATACTTCTGAGGGAAGTCTGTGGAGCTGATGGACAAGAACACTATAATGCACAAGACCATCTGAGGCCATCCAGAAAACAACTCAGCTCTGGAGAAACTGTTGCCTCATATCTGAGGGAATGTGGGCTTTGTGTTCACCAAGGAGGTCTTCACTGAGATTAGGGACATACTGCTGGCCAATAGGTGCCAGCTGATATCTGTGCAGGTGCCATTGCTCCACCTGAAGTCACTGTACCAGCCCAGAACACTAGTCTGGGTCCCAAGAAGTCATTTTTCTTCCAGGCTTTAGGCATCACCACTAAAATCTCCAGGGTCACTATTGGAATCCTCAGTGATGTACAGCTGATGAGGACTGGAGACAAATTGGAAGCCAGTGAAGCCACACTGCTGAACATGCTGAACACTGCCCAGCTCTTCTCCTTTGGACTGATCATCAAGAGAGTGTTTAACAACAGCAGCATCTCCCACCCTTAAAGTCCTTGCCATCACAGAGGAAACTGCATTCTCACTTCCTGGAGGGTGTCCACAATGTTGCCAGTGTTTGCAGATTGATTACCCAATTAGATGTGAATTCTCTGAGGATTAAAATCAAAACTCAGCTTAGTATATTATCTAAAGCAGACAATCCATTAACTACTTGGTGAATAAGGGCACTAACATTTTTTGTGGGAGTGGTAGCACTAGAGACATGGGCAAAGAGTCTACATTCTTTAAATGGATTCCAGGACTAATCTTTAGTTTGAGGCAAAAGAAGTGTCAGATATTTTAGATATAATTAAAGATGTCCCTGGTTTTGCCTAATCTTGATTATTCTCTTCTTTCAGTTTGCTTTAAGTTTAATTTGCTTTTCTTTTTCCAGTGTCTTATAATTCCAGTGAAAGTTTGTTATTGATTTCAAATTCTTATTTTTTAATGTAGACATTTAATATATGTTATAAATTTCCCTTAAGCATTGCTTTAGCTACATTCCATAAGTTTTGATAGGCTGCTTTTTTCATTTTCACGCATATCAAACTATTTGCTAATTTCTCTTGTAGCTACTTTGACCCACTGGCTGCTTAGAAATGTGCTATTTAATTTTCAAGTTATATGTGGATTTCCTGAATTTTCTTTTGTTATTGATTTATAATTTTCATTATGGTTGGAGAACACACTTTGTATTATCTAAATTCCTTTCCATTTATTGAGGCTTGTTTTATGACCTAAGATGTAGTTTATCCTGGAGAATTCTCCATGTACACTTGAGAAAAATGTGTATTTTGCTGTTGTTTAGTGGAGTGTTCTATAGTTGTCTGTTAAGACTATAGTCATTTAAGACTTTTATTTCCTTGTCGATCCTTTGCCTAGATGTTTTATCTATCAATGAATGTGTGGTATTGAAGTATCCAGCTATTATTATTGTTGAATTATCTATTTTTCCCCTCAAGTCTGTAAGTTTTTCCTTCATGTATTTTGGGGCTCTGTTGTTAGGTGCATACATATTTATCATTATTATATTTTGGATAGATTGCTTCTGATATAATTTTAAATGTTGTCTCTAGTAATAATTTTTGCTTGAAATCTGTTGTGACCATTGCCATTCCAGCTTTCTTTTGGTTAGTGTTTGCATAACATATTTTTTCCATCCTTTTATTTCAACCTATTTGTATCTTCAGATCTAAAGGTTGTCTTCTGGGAGGAGCCAAGATGGCCTAATAGGAAAAGCTCCGGTCTACAGCTCCCAGCGTGAGTGACGCAGAAGACGGGTGATTTCTGCATTTCCATCTGAGGTACCGGGTTCATCTCACTAGGCAGTGCCAGACAGTGGGCGCAGGTCAGTGGGTGCGCGCACCATGCGCGAGCCAAAGCAGGGCGAGGCATTGCCTCACTCGGGAAGCGCAAGGGGTCAGGGAGCTCCCTTTCCTAGTCAAAGAAAGGGGTGACAGACAGCACTGGAAATTCGGGTCACTCTCACCCAAATACTGCGCTTTTCCAACGGGCTTAAAAAACGGCGCACCAGGAGATTATATCCCGCACATGGCTCGGAGGGTCCTACACCCACAGAGTCTTGCTGATTGCTAGCACAGCAGTCTGAGATCAAACTGCAAGGTGGCAGCGAGGCTGGGGGAGGGGTGCCCGCCATTGCCCAGGCTTGCTTAGGTAAACAAAGCAGCCGGGAAGCTCGAACTGGGTGGAGCCCACCACAGCTCAAGGAGGCCTGCCAGCCTCTGTAGGCTCCACCTCTGGGGGCAAGGCACAGACAAACAAAAAGACAGCAGTAACCTCTGCAGACTTAAATGTCCCTGTCTGACAGCTTTGAAGAGAGCAGTGGTTCTCCCAGCACGCAGCTGGAGATCTGAGAACGGGCAGACTGCCTCCTCAAGTGGGTCCCTGACCCCTGACCCATGAGCAGCATAACTGGGAAGCACCTCCCAGCAGGGGCAGACTGACAGCTCACACGGCCAGGTACTCCCGGCCGAGAGAAAGGTTGGGTTACCCTCAAAGGGATGCCCATCAGACTAACAGCAGATGTCTCAGCAGAAACTCTATAAGCCAGAAGACAGTGGGGGCCAATATTCAACATTCTTAAAGAAAAGAATTTTCAACCCAGAATTCCATATCCAGCCAAACTAAGCTTCATAAGTGAAGGAGAAATAAAAGACTTTACAGACAAGCAAATGCTGAGAGATTTTGTCACCACCAGGCCTGCCCTAAAAGAGCTCCTGAAGGAAGCGCAAAACATGGAAAGGAACAACCGGTACCAGCCACTGCAAAATCATGCCAAAATGTAAAGACCATCGAGACTAGGAAGAAAGTGCATCAACTAATGAGCAAAATAACCAGCTAACATCATCATGACAGGATCAAATTCACACATAACAATATTAACTTTAAATGTAAATGGACTAAATGCTCCAATTAAAAGACACAGACTGGCAAACTGGATAAAGAGTCAAGACCCATCAGTGTGCTGTATTCAGGAAACCCATCTCACGTGCAGAGACACACATAGGCTCAAAATAAAAGGATGGAGGAAGATCTACCAAGCAAATGGAAAACAAAAAAAGGCAGGGGTTGCAATCCTAGTCTCTGATAAAACAGACTTTAAACCAACAAAGATCAAAAGAGACAAAGAAGGCCATTACATAATGGTAAAGGGATCAATTCCACAAGAAGAGCTAACTATCCTAAATATATATGCACCCATTACAGGAGCACCCAGATTCATAAAGCAAGTCCTCAGTGACCTACAAAGAGACTTAGACTCCCACACATTAATAATGGGAGACTTTAACACCCCACTGTCAACATTAGACAGATCAATGAGACAGAAAGTCAACAAGGATACCCAGGAATTGAACTCAGCTCTGCACCAAGCAGACCTAATAGACATCTAAAGAACTCTCCACCCCAAATCAACAGAATATACATTTTTTTCAGCACCACACCACACCTATTCCAAAATTGACCACATAGTTGGAAGTAAAGCTCTCCTCAGCAAATGTAAAAGAACAGAAATTATAACAAACTATCTCTCAGACCACAGTGCATTCAAACTAGAACTCAGGATTAAGAATCTCACTCAAAACCGCTCAACTACATGGAAACTGAACAACCTGCTCCTGAATGACTACTGGGTACATAACGAAATGAAGGCAGAAATAAAGATGTTCTTTGAAACCAACGAGAACAAAGACACAACATACCAGAATCTCTGGGACGCACTCAAAGCAGTGTGTAGATGGAAATTTATAGCACTAAATGCCCACAAGAAAAGCAGGAAAGATCCAAAATTGACACCCTAACATCACAATTAAAAGAACTAGAAAAGCAAGAGCAAACACATTCAAAAGCTAGCAGAAGGCAAGAAATACCTAAAATAAGAGCAGAAATGAAGGAAATAGAGACACAAAAAACCCTTCAAAAAATTAATGAATCCAGGAGCTGGTTTTTTGAAAGGATCAACAAAATTGATAAACCGCAAGCAAGACTAATAAAGAAAAAAGAGAGAAGAATCAAATAGATGCAATAAAAAATGATAAAGGGGATATCACTACCGATCCCACAGAAATACAAACTAACATTAGAGAATACTACAAACACCTCTATGCAAATAAACTAGAAAATCTAGAAGAAATGGATAAATTCCTCGACACATACACTCTCCCAAGACTAAACCAGGAAGAAGTTGAATCTCTGAATAGACCAATAACAGGATCTGAAATTGTGGCAATAATCAATAGCTTACCAACCAAAAAGAGTCCAGGACCAGATGGATTCACAGCCGAATTCTACCAGAGGTACAAGGAGGAACTGGTACCATTCCTTCTGAAACTATTCCAATCAACAGAAAAAGAGGGAATCCTCCCTAACTCATTTTATGACGCCAGCATCATCCTGATACCAAAGCTGGGCAGAGACACAACCAAAAAAGAGAATTTTAGACCAATATCCTTGCTGAACATTGATGCAAAAATCCTCAATAAAATACTGGCAAACCAAATCCAGCAGCACATCCAAAAGCTTATCCACCATGATCAAGTGGGCTTCATCCCTGGGATGCAAGGCTGGTTCAATATACACAAATCAATAAATGTAATCCAGCATATAAACAGAACCAAAGACAAAAACCACATGATTATCTCAATAGATGCAGAAAAGGCCTTTGACAAAATTCAACAACCCTTCATGCTAAAAACTCTCAATAAATTGGGTACTGATGGGACGTATTTCAAAATAATAAGAGCTATCTATGACAAACCCACAGCCAATATCATACTGAATGGGCAAAAACTGGAAGCATTCCCTTTGAAAATGGGCACAAGACAGGGATGCCCTCTCTCACCACTCCTATTCAACACAGTGTTGGAAGTTCTGGCCAGGGCCATTAGGCAGGAGAAGGAAATAAAGGGTATTCAATTAGGAAAAGAGGAAGTCAAATTGTTCCTGTTTGCAGATGACATGATTGTATATCCAGAAAACCCCATCGTCTCAGCCCAAAATCTCCTTAAGCTGACAAGCAAATTCAGCAAAGTCTCAGGATACAACATCAATGTACAAAAATCACAAGCATTCTTATACACCAACAACAGACAAACAGAGAGCCAAATCATGAGTGAACTCCCATTCACAATTGCTTCAAAGAGAATAAAATACCTAGGAATCCAACTTACAAGGGATGTGAAGGACCTCTTCAAGCAGAACTACAAACCACTGCTCAAGGAAATAAAAGAGGATACAAACAAATGGAAGAACATTCCATGCTCATGGGTAGGAAGAACCAATATCGTGAAAATGGCCATACTGCCCAAGGTAATTTACAGATTCAATGCCATCCCCATCAAGCTACCAATCACTTTCTTCACAGAATTGGAAAAAACTACTTTAAAGTTCATATGGAACCAAAAAAGAGCCCGGATAGCCAAGTCAATCCTAAGCCAAAAGAACAAAGCTGGAGGCATCACGCTACCTGACTTCAAACTATACTACAAGGCTACAGTAACCAAAACAGCATGGTACTGGTACCAAAACAGAGAGATAGATCAATGGAACAGAACAGAGCCCTCAGAAATAACGCCACATATCTACAACTATCTGATCTTTGACAAACCTGAGAAAAACAAGCAATGGGGAAAGGATTCCCTATTTAATAAATGGTGCTGGGAAAACTGGCTAGCCATATGTAGAAAGCTGAAACTGGATCCCTTCCTTACACCTTATACAAAAATCAATTCAAGATGGATTAAAGACTTCAACGTTAGACCTAAAACCATAAAAACTCTAGAAGAAAACCTAGGCATTACCATTCAGGACATAGGCATGGGCAAGGACTTCATGTCTAAAACACCAAAAGCAATGGCAACAAAACCAAAATTGACAAATGGGATCTAATTAAACTAAAGAGCTTCTGCACAGCAAAAGAAACTACCATCAGAGTGAACAGGCAACCTACAAAATGGGAGAAAATTTTCACAACCTACTCATCTGACAAAGGGCTAATATCCAGAATCTACAATGAACTCAAACAAATTTACAAGAAAAAAACAAACAACCCCATCAAAAAGTGGGCGAAGGACATGAACAGACACTTCTCAAAAGAAGACATTTATACAGCCAAAAAACACATGAAAAAATGCTCACCATCACTGGCCCTCAGAGAAATGCAAATCAAAACCACAGTGAGATACCATCTCACACCAGTTAGAATGGCAATCATTAAAAAGTCAGGGAACAACAGGTGATGGAGAGGATGTGGAGAAATAGGAACACTTTTACACTGTTGGTGGGAATGTAAACTAGTTCAACCATTGTGGAAGTCAGTGTGGCGATTCCTCAGGGATCTAGAACTAGAAATACCATTTGACCCAGCCATCCCATTACTGGGCATATAGCCAAAGGGCTATAAATCATGCTGCTATAAAGACACATGCACACATATGTTTATTGTGGCATTATTCACAATAGCAAAGACTTGGAACCAACCCAAATGTCCACCAATGATACACTGGATTAAGAAAATGTGGCACATATACACCATGGAATACTATGCAGCCATAAAAAATGATGAGTTCATGTCCTTTGTAGGGACATGGATGAAATTGGAAATCATCATTCTCAGTAAACTATCGCAAGAACAAAAAACCAAACACCGCATATTCTCACTCATAGGTGGGAATTGAACAATGAGAACACATGGACACAGGAAGGGGAACATCACACTCTGGGGCCTGTTGTGGGGTGGGGGGAGGGAGGAGGGATAGCATTGGGAGATATACCTAATGCTAGATGACGAGTTAGTGGGTGCAGCACACCAGCATGGCACATGTATACATATGTAACTAACCTGCACATTGTGCACATGTACCCTAAAACTTAAAGTATAATATTAAAAAAAAAAGAAAATTAAATCACCATTAAAAAAAAATAAAATAAAGTTTGTCTTCTGTAGATAGATAGTATATAGAGAGATCATGTTGGGTTTTTAATCCATCCTGCAATCTCCGCCTTTTGTTTGGAATGTGTAATCTATTTACCTTTAGTACAATTACTAACAATTTGGAATATGTATCTGCCATTTTGCTATTTGCTTTTGACATGTCTCATTTTTTTTGTTACTTTATTCTTCCATTACAGCCTACTTTTTTGTTAAGGAGATATTTTCTATTATATTATTTTAATTCTCTTGTTTATTTTACTAAAATTTAAAATTATATTTTCTTAGTGGTGGCCCTGGGGATTATAGTAATCATCTTCATTTATAATAAGATAGTTTCATTTTATACTAACTTAATTTCAATAGTATAGTGTATATAGCTTTATACTCTCCTTCCTTCTTTTTGCTGTTATTGTCATACAAATTACATCTTTATATTTTTGCACCAATCAATGCAGATTTAAGTATTACCTTATCCAGTTTTTAAATAAAATCAGTTAGAAAAATTATGCAAAAAAAATACATTAATATTATCTTTTATATTTGCCTGTGCAGTTTATTTTTGCCAGTGCCCTTTATATCCTCATGTTGATTCTAGTTGCTATCTGTACTATCTAATTTTTTGTTTGTTTGTTTGTTTGTTTGTTTTTTTGCCTAAAGGATTCCCTTTAGTATTTTTTCAAGGGCAAGTATAGCAAGTATGTTAGTAATGAGTTCTTTGTTTTTGTTAATCTGGCAATGTCTTCATTTCTCCTTCAATTCTGAAGGAGACTTTTGCTAAATACATAATTCCGGTGTACAGTCTTTTTCTTTCAGTACTTTCAGTATGTCAGTCCACTGGTTTGGCCTCCACTGTTTTTAATGAGAAATTAGCTGTGAATCCTACTAAGTATTCCTTGTAGGAGATGAGTTTCTTCTTTCTTGCTGCTTTAAAGATTCTCTCTGTTTTCCAGTTTCAAAAGTTTGCATATGATATGTCTCAATGTGGAGCTCTTTGAGTTCTTTCTACTTGGGGTTCATTGAGCTTCTTGGATATATAGATTATGATGAAAGCATAATCTACATTTTTTTTTACAGGTTTTACAACCAAAATTTGAAACTTCCCTCTAAAAACTGGGAAGTTTTTGGCTAAATTTTTCAAATACTCATTCTGCCCCTGTCTCTTTCTCCTCACTTTCTTGAACTTACATTGTACATAGTTGGTATACTTTGTGGTATTTTGCAGGTCTTTGAAGCTCTGTTTAATTTCTCTCCATTCTTTTATCTTTCTGATTTTCAAACTAAATAATCTCAATTGGCCTCTGTTACATTCACTGACTCTTACTTCTGCTAGCTCAAGTCTGCTATTGAGCCCCTCTAGTGAATTTTTTATTTCCATTATTCTACTTTTCAAATCCAAAATTCATTTTTTTCTGGTAACTTCTTTCTTTATTTATATTCTCTGTTTGGATGAGACATCGTTCTCATATTTTCCCTTATTATTTTAGATGTTAGTTTCTTTAATTCTTTGAGTATATTTAAAATAATTGACAAAATTTGTGTCCAGTAAATCCAGTGTCTAAGCTTTCTCAAGGACAGTTTCTATTAATTGCATTTTTTCCTGTGTGTGGGCCATAGTTTACTGTGTCCTTGCATGTTTTGTAATTTTGTGTCAAAACTGGACATTTTAAATAATATAATGTGGCAACTCTGAAAATGAGATTCCCTCTCTCCTTTGTGTATATTATTGCTGTTTATTATTGTTGTTTGTTTAGTGACTTTACTGAAGTAATTCTGTAACATCTATAAGTTTTGTTGTGGCAAGATTCAAGCTTTTTCCTACTTGGATATGTAACCCTTGATTACTGCAAACATTTGTTTAATTTCCAAAGTTCTGAAAAAGTTGGTTTTTTATAATTTTACCATTTTTTGTTGCTTTTTATAAAACCTTTAACGCTCCATTTTTACTTACATTGTCTATTCTCAAGCTAGAAGCTTAGATCCTTGGTTGTAGAACATTTGTTTTGTTGTTCTGATATAACCATTTAAAGCTACAGATTTGTCTCTAAGCACTGCTTTGTCTAGGTACCACACATTTTTATATATTGTGTTTATTGTAATTTGTTTTAAAATATTTACAGTTTCAATCTTGAGTTCCTATTTAGTACATGTGTTACTTTGAAGTACTATATTTAATTTCCAAACACTTGGGGATTCTGTAGATATTTTCTGTTACTGATTTCTAATCTTATTCCATTGTGGTCACAGTACATACTCTGAAAACCTCAATCTTTCTGAAATTTACTGAGACATATTTAATGACACAAATTATAACTGATTCTGTTCACCATTTGATGTATACTTGAAAATAATGTGTATAATATAATTATTTTATGTCATATTAGTGTTCTGTTAAATGTCAATTAATTCAAGTTTCTTGTTTAGACTTTTTGTATTTCTTCAGATTTTTTTGGTCCACTTGTTCCATAAATTAGGGAATGAAGGGTGTTACAAATTTATAGCCATGCCTTTTGAGTTTTGCATTGCTTCTGTTACTTCCATCAGTTTTTGCTTCACAAAAGTAAGTGCCTCGTTTTTAAGTGCATACATAAATAGAATTGTGTTATTTTGATGAATTACCCATTTCACCATTTAAAAATTGCCTATCCTCATCTCTTACAGTATTTTCCTCTTGAAATCTACTTTTTCTCATATTAATATAACCATGGCAGTTTTCTTAGGCTTATTGTTACATGCTATATTATTTGCCATTCTTATACTTTCTAACTATTTACATTTTTGTATTTGTAGTGCACCTCATATATAAGACAGAATTTGATTTTGCTTTTTTACAGTCCAACAAACTCTGTGTCTTATTTGGAGTGTTTAGTTTTTATGTATTTCATATAGTATTTATAATTAATTCTACTTTTTGTTTCCTATTTCACTCTTTTTTTTTGTTTCTTTGTTGTCTCTTTACTGACTTTTTGGGGTTAATTGAAATTTTTAACTATTCCATTTTATTTTCAATATTGGTTTCTTAGCTGCATGTCTTTTTAATTTTTTTGGTCTGCTCCTGGGTTAGCAACATACGTTTTTACAAAAATATATTTAGAATCAATATTATACCACTTAACAGTTCACAATTGACCCTTCACAGTTCTCACTTCTCACCAGATACTTCATATTTCATACTTCTCACTTCATATTTCATACATCTCAACTCTCAATTCACAAAATGTATTAACCTTACAAGAGAATACTTGCATTTACCTTTCATCCCATTTTTTGCAAATGTTTTCATATCTTTTATTTCTACAAACAATATAAAGCCCATCTTCAAATGCCCTTATTGTGTTTTAAAATAATCGGTTGTTTTCTGAAGATATAATGAAGGGAAAAGGATCATTTATATTTATCCATCTATTTACCATTTCTGGACATATTATCTCTAACCTAAAGGATTGAGTTTCCATCTGACATGATTTCTTTTCAGCCTAAAGAGTATTTAGAATTTATTTTAGTGTAGATCTTTTATGACACATTGTCTAAATTTTTGTCATTTGAAGTGTCATCATTTTCTCATCTTTTTATTTTTTCAATATGTTATTATTGAATGTTTCAAATATAAGTGAAGTTAAAAGAACTTTACAGTGAATACTAATGTGCCTATCAACTACATTACACAATTAACATGTTACTATGCTTATAATAGCCTATTTATCTATCCATAATTCTATCTATATATTATCCATCTTATTTTTTAATGCATTTCAAAGCATGTTGCAAGTTTCATCCTCAGTTTTCCAAGATAATTTCACTGAAATTGACTTGAAGGATGTCCATTTTTATTCAAAATTTGTGTCTCTGTTCTCTGGATTAAAATTTTTCTATTGATTGCCTTAAGTTCAACAACTCTTTCTTCTTTCATCTACCTCTATTCTGCTGTCAACCTATCCAAATAATTTTTATTTCAGACATTATATTTGCCAATGGTAGTATTTCTTTGGAGTTTTTTGTCTCCATTTCTTTCCTGAGATTCTATAAGATCTTTTTTTTTTAATTATTTGTACACATTTTCCTTTAGTTCTTTGTCTTCTAATCCAAAATCTGAAGCATGCCAGGCTTAGGTTCTTCTGTTTACTTCTTTTTTATTGACAGTTTATACATGTATACACACACAAACATCTTTGAAACTTTGTATTATGTGCTAGATGTTGTTAATTGTTGTTCATATTTACATTCTATTATCCTCATCTGAAGAGTGTTGATTTTTGTTATTATGGAAAATTCTATTACTGGCTGGTTACCTTAAAATTGCATAGTTGTTTTTTTTTCTAATGCTTTGTTAAGGTAAGTCTATAAAAAACTCTAACTCTTTCTCAAGTGGATCTAATTTCATAATACTTGACCTCCAAATTCTGTCTCCCTTGTGGGTCCTAAGGTTTTAGCCTTTGTTGGGGTGGGAATTAAGTTCTTACTTAATTCTAAAGTAAGAACTTGTGTCTTTGATGGGTACGCACAGTTGTAGTGAACTGTGGGGAACTTCTCATCCTCCTTGCTGGGCTAGACTTCCAACATGAAAAGTATCTCCCCCAAATTGTTTTTTTTTTAAAATCCTTTAATGTTTCCTTGATCTAAAATGGCGAATTAAAATCAACCAACTCAAAAAAAATTAAGAAGCCGCAGTATTAAATGTATCACCTTGGTTTAAAGAAATGTTTACAAATAAAGAATGAGTTGGCTTTGCAGTAGAAACTCACATATACAAGACCCACAGGAACAAGAATCTCAATAGCAATCAATAAAGTTATTAGCTTGTTTAAAAAGAGAAAAAAATATGAAGTCTTAGGCTATGTTAATAGACACATAATATTCCTATCAAGGAAGGCAGTAATCCTGCCACACATGACATTGTCAGGAGGTCATGCCTGATGGTATATGTACTTTACTGGACTTTGCATTTGAAGAACAATATCAAAGAGTTAACAAATGCTTAGGATAAATTAACTAAGATAATGTTCTAGTATATTATGCCAAAGGAACAAATGATTGAAAGAGCTATGTATTTCATCTTACAGAAAAGATAAAGTAGGGGTGTGGTGGGGAAAGATATCTGACTTTAAGCATTCAACCTTTCAAAAGATTGTCACGTGAAAGATGAAAAAGTCTATGGCATACTGCTTCAAAAGATAGCTCAAACTAATAGGTAAATAAATGACAAATTATACCTCAAGGTATGGAAGAATTATATAATCAGAATGGTATACTAATAGTAAAGTAGTTTTCAAAAATGACTTTCCTCACAAGTACTTAAAAAATAAAGAACATATTCCTTCTCCTAAATTTCCATGTCTCTCCTTCTAAATTTCCATGCCTTTGTATGTGTGGCAGGCTTTCCAAAATATCTGGGGAGATAAAAAGAATATACTTTATAGGAATTCAAACAACTAAAATTGAAAAGTGGATACTTCAGTTTTTAAAACATTTTCGGCTTCTCTGCTATGTCACTCAGTCACTCTCAAACTTGACTTTCTCTTCTTCCCCCTCGGGACCACTACCAACAATCATAATAGCAAAACACAAGCCATTAAAATAAATTCTTCCCACATGGTAACATAGAGAAAATCAGTTCTCTCCTCCCAAATGCCTATGAACTCAGCTCCAGGGTAACTCAGAGAAGGTGAAGTTGAAATGATTTTTTGTAAAGTCTGAGGAAGCTCTTTATCAGCTCTTCCTCCCAGATTGAGAGGATAAGTGGTTTTGGTCTTATGGTCACACATATAGCAGAACTTCTAAGAAATTCTTTAGATCTTCTAAGAAAAATAATGACAATAGAAATGGTTCTAATTGCATGGGAAACTCAATACAAACTGACAAAGTTTTCCTGTCTCTTATATATATCAAAGAAGTATGTCTATTGAGTTGTTCTATTTCATTAAAATTGTGTTTTTTAGACTCCAGACTAATGGATTCAGGGTAAAATTAAATACCATCAAGGGATTCAGCAACTCTCTGTTGGTGGCAGTGGCATTAAAATCGTGGTTATGAACATGCTGATCTAAGTTCAGGTCTAGCCATATGATGTCATAGGATGTTGTGGTACACAAACTGAACTGACTGGGAACCAGAAGACTTGGAATAGTGTCAGTTCTTCCACTATCTCAGCGATCTTATAAAGTAATCACTCTTCTGGGGCCTGTGTTGTACCACCTTTACTACATCAGTTTCACATTTCCATTTGTCTACCTATATTCTCCCAAAAACAAAAGGAAGCTGTGGTTAGTTAGAGGGAAACAGTTGGTATAGTAGAAAGTGCATGAGCTTTACAGTCAAAACTGAGTTATAGTCTAATGTCTATCTTTAGGCAAATAAACATATAACCAATTATTACCTTGCCTCGTGGTTATGAAAATTAATGGAAATATTACACGTGAAAGTTTTGGTGTGAAAAGTCAGTTTTATAGGTTATAGAATCAGAAAAAACAGATTGCTTAAGTATTTGATTATTGAGATAGGGACTTGAATCCAATCAAACTTAAAAGAAATCTGAGCCTTTAAGATAAAAACATTTCAAAGGGAATGTCATCCATAAAAATCATAGCTTATATGAAAATATGAGATAATTTTAATTACACTTTTTATAATGTCAATTACAATTACATTTTTGTTTATAATCCTTCTTCATTATATAGCAAAGTACATCATTAGCAGTTCTAATAATGGCAATTAGTCCACTTTGCTCTTTAAATTAATACATTCTTTCATTGTTGGGGTTTAGTTATAATTTGTCAAAAAGGTGAAATAACTATTTCCAGTTTGCCCTGGAAATGTTGCTTTGTAGAAAGTAAACATTTTTCAGTTCTGCCAAAGTATGTTCCACTATATTATCAGAGTCTAAACCACCAACTTCAATACTGAAACCCAAGTTGAGATTATTAATTTAAACCATAGTTCTTGTTGTTTTTCCTTATATTTTGGATGGACAGAGTCACATAAATGTTTATTCTTCCCATGAAAGAGGATACTAAAAACTTGTACAGGATGGGAATATTGGCCCTTTTTAAAGAATTCCCTTCACACTTCCACAAAATAAAAGAACAAAAGAAAAGTCTAATAAACAAGGAATTTACAACAAAATAAAGTCTCAAACAACCTTCGGCCTAGTTCCTACCATCAGGTGCCCAATGGGTGATCTGACCATTCTTACACCTCTGTTTTCATTTTCGCTGACCATCCAATGCTCCCTTTTCAGGACTATATAGAAAATGAGGACCACCATACACAAATGACTAAGAATTTTAAAAGCTTGTCCTCTAAATGAGAGAGCCTCAGCTTCATTGTAATGAGAATGCAGAGTTCTCAAAAATAATTTTATTCTTAACCATTTTAGAACATTCTGCCATATGGCTCCATGGATTATTCCTTAATGTCTGTTACTCAGCTGTTATTTTGGTCACTCACATCTTATCTCTCTGATTATTCTCATGGGAAAGCCTTCTTCTGTCCCCTAGGATGTGTCTCTTAGCCCCCATCTCTTCTTTAATGCAGGCATCTTGAGTGATGACATACATTCCTTTATCTTTAGCTACCATTATATAGGTCAGAGTTTTTGAGGATATAGAAACTATACCAATTACTTTAACAGAAAAAAAGATTAAACAGAATTGTTAACAGGCTACTAGAAAATTAAAAGGACAAAAGGGGGACACTTTCTGCTAATAAACCTAGGCTAGGGAAACAATGCTAAAAGGTTGGAATCATTAAAACTCAGGGGCATGGAGGAGAGCCCTGTGGAATTGGAATGCAGATCTCTGAGGAGTTAGCACTGGTGTTGAAGAGCTAAAAGGAGAAAGCTCACAGAGGTGGGACTCAGTCCTCTGAGGATGAGGCATGGGCTGGATGGTGTTGTGTTTTCTGAGAGATATGTGATGAGGCTGGTTTTAATAGCATAGAAAAAGACTGTAAACTGGAATCAGCTGCTATTTCTAGACTCAATTGTCACCGTCAGGGTAAAGAGCTATCACCTGACTGGAATTGGAAGTAAATAGCAACAAGTTTATTTTTACTCCTTAAGCCTTCTAGATGTTCTCTAGTGCCTCTTGTTGGCAAAGCATAATGGGGAACAACTGAAAATAAATGACCCTCAGTACCATAAAAGCAAGTACATACGGAAGCATGGGTTTGAAGTTGAGAGGCAATAGTTTAATAGCCACTATGGTCCAGACTTTGGCTAATCAGCATTCACACACACTCTTCTACATAAACTTGACTTTAGTATAATTATACAAACCACTTTATTCTTTGACTCCATGAAATCCTTTGTATATTCAAAGATACTCTCAACCCTTTTATTTTTATTTACTTTTGTACATGAATAAGTTCTTTAGTGGTGATTTCTGAGATTTTGTTGCACTTGTCACCCGAGCAGTGTACACTGTACCCACGCCCCTCCCACCCTTACCCCCAAGTCCCCAAAGTCCATTGTATCGTTCTTATGCCTTTGCATCCTCACAGCTTAGCTCCCACTTATGAATTAGAACATATGATGTTTTGCTTTCCATTCCTGAGTTACTTCACTTAGAATAATGGTCTCTAATTCCATCCAGGTTGCTGCAAATGCCATTATTTTGTTCCTTTTCTTGGCTGAGTAGTATTCCATGATATATATCTACCACATTTTTTTATTCACTTATTGACTGATGGGCATCTGGACTGGTTCCATATTTTTGCAACTGCTAATTGTGCTGCTATAAACATGCATGTACAAGTATATTCTTTGTATAATGACTTCTTTTTTTCTAGGTAGATACCCAGGAGTGGAATTGCTGGATCAAATGGTAGATTTACCTTTAGTTCTTTAAGGAATCTTCACACTGTTTCCCATAGTGGTTGTACTAATTTACATTCCCACCAGCAGTGTAAAAGTGTTCCCTTTTCACCGCATCCACACCAATATCTATTTTTTTTTAATTTTTTTTTTGTTTGTTTATGGCCATTCTTACAGGAGTAAAGTGGTATCACATTGTGGTTTTGATTTGCATTTCCCTGATCGTTAGTGATGTTGAGCATTTTTTCATATGTTTGTTGGCCATTTGTATATCATCTTTTGAAAATTGTCTATGTCCTTGCCCACTTTTTGATGGGATTGTTTGGTTTTTTTCCTTGCTGATTTGTTTGAGTTCTTTGTAGATTCTGGATATTAGAGCTTTGTTGGCAATCTAAGTATAGATTGCCAAGATTTTCTCCCACTCTGTAGGTTGTCTGTTTACTCTGCTGATTATTTCTTTTGCTGTACTTAATTAGTTTAATTAAGTTCCATCTATTTATCTTTGTTTTTATTGCATTTGCTTCTGGGTTCTTGGTCATGAAGTCTTTGCCTAAGACAATGTCTAGAAGGGTTTTTCCAATGTTATCTTTTAGAATTTTTAAGGTTTCAGGTCTTATATTTAAGTCTTTGATCTACCTTGAGTTGATTTTTGTATAAGGTGAGAGATGAAGATCCAGTTTCATTCTCTACATATGGCTGACAAATTGGCCCAGCACCTTTCCTCACTTTATGTTTTTATTTGCTTTGTCCAAGATCACTTGGTTGTAAGTATTTGGCTTAATTCTGGGTTCTCTATTCTGTTCCATTGGTCTATGTATTAGTCCATTCTCATGCAGCTGATAAAGACATACCTGAGACTAGATAATTTATAGAGAAAAAGAGGTTTAATGGACTCACAGTTCCACATGGCTGGGGAGGCCTCACAATCATGGTGGAAGGTGAAAGGAATGTCTTGCATGACAGCAGGCGACAGAGAGAATGAGAGCCAAGCAAAAGGGGAAACCCCTTATAAAACCATCAGATCTCATGAGACTTATGCATGAGATCTCATCTTGATTTGGACTTCATCTTGGTTTGGATCCATTGCTGGTGAGCTAGTGTGATCTTTTGGGGGTGCTGAAGAACCTTGTTTTGTCGTATCACCAGAATTGTTCTTCTGGTTTCTTCTTATTTGGGTAGATTATGTCAGAGGGAAGATCTGGGACTCAAGTGCTGCTGTTCAGATTCTTTTGTCCCACAGGGTGCTCCCATGATGGGGTGATCTCCCCTTTCCCCTAGGGATGGGGCTTCCTGAGAGCCAAACTGCAGTGATTGTAATTCTCTTCTGGAGCTAGCCACCCAGCAGAGCTACCAGGCTTGGGCCGGTACTGCTGTTTCATGTAGCTAATTTAGCACAACTGCTTATTGATACATTGGCTGACTCACATTGTTATTCTGGTAATAGCTTTATTTTGAAATAAAACATTAAAAAAAAGACAATGTAGATTCTCCTTGGATTTCCTTCAAACTTTAGAATAAAAAAGATTGTGATAGGTTTCTTCTCCCTTTATAAAGAGTAAGAAAGCATCTTGATAGCCCCAAATAGTCAAATCAGCTCTATGAGTAACAACATATACCAGTGTTTACGTACAAAAAAATTAGTAATGATTATATCTAACAATATTTTATTCCATAGAAACGTTTTATCCTCAGTGATTTAATTTTAACATCTCCTACTCTGAGAATGTTATATTGAACTCAAGCTTGCTGACCTGTGAGTTGTTTCTAATGTTACCATATTCTGCCATGGACTTAGGAGACTCGGGGACTTATGGAAAGAATCTGAGTTAATGCATAGGTGGTATTTGTTGTTTAAGTTAAACTAGTACGTTTTAAAATAACTTTTAGGTTCAGGGGTACATGTGCAGGTTTGTTATATAGGTTAACTCATGTCATGAGGTTTGTTGTGCAGACTATTTCATCACCTAGGTTTTAAGCCAGGTACCCAGTAGTTGTTTTTTCTGACCCTCTCCCTTCTCCCACCCTCCATCTTCAAGTAGACCCCAGTGTCTGTTGTTTCCCTCTTTGCATCCAGGAGTTCTCATCATTTAGCTCCCAATTATAAGTGAGAACATGTGGTATTTGGTTTTCTGTTCCTGTATTAGTTTGCTAAGGATAATGGCCTCCAACTCCATCCATGTTCCTGCAAAGGACATGATCTCATTCTTTCCTATGGCTACATAGTATTCCATGGTGTGTATGTACCACATTTTCTTTATCTAACCTGTCATTGATGGGCATTTAGGTTGATTCCATGTCTTTGCTATTGTGAATGGTGCTGCAGTGAACATATGCGTGCATGTGTCTTTATGGTAGAATGATTTATATTCCTTTAGGTATATACCCATAACAGGATTGCTGGGTCAAACAGTAGTTCTGTTTTTAGCTCTTTGAGGAATTGCCACTCTGCTTTCCACAATGGCAGAACTAATGATTGAACTTATACACCCCCACTAGCAGTGTATAAGCATTCCCTTTTCCCCAGAACCACACAACCATCTGTTATTTTTTGGCTTTTTAATTATAGCCATTCTGACTGATGAGATGGTATCTCGTTGTGGTTTTGGTTTTCATTTCTGATTATGAGCATTATTGAGATTTTTTTCATATGCTTGTTAGCTGCATGTATGTCTTCTTTTGAAAGGTATCTGTTCATGTCATTTGCCCACTTTTTAATGGGGCTGTTTGTTGTTCTCTTGTAAATTTGCTAAAGTTCTTTATAGATGCTGGATATTAGACCTTTGTCAGATGCATAGTTTGCAAAAATTATCTCCCATTCTGTAGGCTGTCTGCTTACTCTGTTTCTTTTGCTGTGCAGTTCTTAAGTTTAATTAGATCTCATTTTTCAATTTTTGTTTTCATTGCAATCACTTTTGACATCTTCATGAAATCTTTGCCAGTTCTTATGCCTAGGATGATATTGCCTACATTGTCTTTCAGGGTTTTTATAGCTGGGGTTTTACATTTAAATCTTTAATCCTTCTTCAGTCTATTTTTGTATATGGTGTAAGTAAGGGGTCCATTTCAATCTTCTGCATATGGCTAGCCAGTTATCCCAGCACTATTTATTGAATAGGGAGTCCTTTCCCCATTGCTTGTTTTTGTCAGCTTTGTTGAAGGTCAGATGGTTGTAGATGTGTGACCTAATTTCTAGGCTCTCTATTCTGTTCCATTGGTCTATGTGTCTGTTTTTGTACCAGTACCATGCTGTTTTGGTTACCGTAGCCCTGCAGTATAGTTCGAGGTTGGGTAGCATGATGTCTCCAGATTTATTCTTTTTGCTCAGAATTGCCTTAGCTATTTTGACAGTTTTTTGGTTTCATATGAATTTGTAAATAGTTTTTTTCTAAATTAGTACATTTTAAGCCAGCAACTTTTGCTATTTGGATGGGAGAGGGATGTAAATTTTATGATTTTGCCATTATGAGGATTCATAAGTATATAATTGTGATAATGTTAATATAACACTTTGTATTGAAGAAACATGATTTAATAATTATCTTTTAAAAATGTATAAATATTTTCCCCCTTTTGGTGGTTTAATTTTTAAAAGTTCTTCAAATAGTTTGCTTGAAATGAGTGCTCTTAATTTTAAAAGAGTTTCAAATTTTGGCATTAAAAAATTAGCTATAACTCAGACGTATATTTTGTTTGAATTATGTAATTCATTCATTTGTATTTAGTTTTATTAAGCAATAATAAAGCAAAATGAATCTGAACATGCTTATGCACTTAAACACCTTAAATGAAGTTATAGGATTATAGATTAAATAATGATTCAGGAGGACTTGGTTCCGGCAACAGGAAAAGACAAAGAAACCAAAGCCAATAATCCTATCTGTCAGAATTAAGCAGCTTTAAGTTCTAATTCACCAAATCATTCCTTAGTTAAATTTTAAAAATCAAAATTATGCAAAGTAATAAATTTTGACAAGAAAACTTTCATTAAAAAATCCATAATTGAAAAATGTCAGAAAGGGTTAAATACATTTTCTAATTTTCTCCTGAAATAAAACACTCTTTTAAGTGAGAATTGCTTTTTTAAAAAGCACCAACACCAAACACCTGCTCTTTAGCTGATTTGCAACTGAGTAAAATAGGAAAAAAACAGAAAAAAAAATCAGAACAACAACTTTGAAAAGTAATTCCATTAAAAATTAAAAAAAAAAAAACCTTTAGACTCTCTGAAAACTTCTTGTGTATATGCTGAAAAAATAAGCAAATACAAATATCCCAAATCATAACAAGTAAAGAAATGAGAAATTAAGATGGCAAAATGCCAGGCTGGTCAATTCCAATAAATGAGGCAGAATAAAATTGCAAATCAAAAACAAAAACAAAAACAAAAACAAAATTGCAAATCAAAACTAGAACAAACTGTAAAAATTGCTGCACCTACTAAACAAACTGAATTCAACTCTTCATTTTTATAAATTTTAAACCAAATAAGTGGTTAGAGAACTCATTCAATCTAGAATACAAACTATATATGTTATTAATTACAATAATTTAAACCCAACTTTAACTGAACTAATACTTCATTCTATTTATATTTTCACTTAACTTGAGAAAGTAATTAATCAGCCAACATAACTAGTTATTTGGGATGTTTGGTTAAGAGATGTGATTTTCTATTTTTTAAGCAGTTATTTTGTCATCTAAGAGATGCTGTGTGAAGTAGATTAGTTTCTAAGGGAAATTCTATTGATCCAACCCATTTTAGCCGTTGCTAAGAGTAAACTCAATAGAAACCACGGAAGAGATCCAGAAGAGTGTGGACTAGTTAAGATGGCATTCAATTGTGCAGCTATTTTACGTTACCTTCAAAAAACTGCCATCAATAAGTTTAAAACCAGAAAATCAGGCACCATCCATAAAAAAATCAGAGATGTGAAAATGCTTATGTCACTGAGGGATAAAAGAGGTGGACTCTCTGTGTCACAGTAGCCCTGTTGGTCTTGTTTACGTGGCCACTGTTTTTAGCCATCTACATTCTTTTGCCCAAAGATCATCATGGAGCAGATATTTGTAAAGGTGGCACTATTCCCTATGTAACTTTCTAAAATATTAATCATCATTTCCTATCCCTGATATGATATACTTTCTGATTGCTTCAAAATAAAGTGAGTTGTGTTTTATTTTGTTTGTTTTGAGGAAGAGTCTCACTCTGTTGCCCAAGCTGGAGTGCAGTGGCACGATCTTGGCTCACTGCAGCCTCCACCTCCCAGGCTCAAGGAATCCTCCCACCTCAGACTCCAGCTAATTTCTTTGTATTTTTTGGAGAGACGAGGTTTCACCATGTTGCCCAGGCTGGTCTCGAACTTCTGGGCTCAAGTGATTCACCTGCCTCAGCCCCACCGAATTGCTGGGACTACAGTCGTGAGGCATCATGCCCAGACTAAAGCGAGTATTTTGAGTTTAAGAATACAACAGACTGTAAGACGGGGACTTTTACTTTTCTTGCCTCATTATCTCTATTTTACAGAAGCAAAAATTAATATTACTGCTTTTACCAATAAAGGATATTTTAAGGGTCAATAACATGGGTTAAAATTATCTCAAAGAATAGCAAGATTACATCCTTTTGCTTTCTTGTAAGCAAATGGGATCTCAGTCCCTTCAAAAAGTTGGATAATCCCTTCAAATCCTTAAGGGATTTGAATAATAGCTATAAGCAATGATGGTGCTTAGCAAATATAATTTGATAGCTGCATAAGGATATAATCATATGTTACTATGCTTCCAAAAAAAATGAAACAAATATTTATGAGTCAGAGTCCATCAACATATGATAAAATGAAAAGGCAGCTGTGTGCTAAAGAGACTTTAGGGAAGTGTTAGAGATGAGAAGTAATATAGAAAATGGGCCAAGGCCAGTGCAGGAGTCAAATGAGAAACAGACACAAGGGCTATGGTAAAACACAGCAAATAACTGAAAGGCATTACCAGGCCAGGCATGGTGGCTCATGCCTGTAATCCCAGCACTTTGGGAGGCCGAGATGTGAGGATCACTTGAGGCCAAGAGTTTGAGACCAGCCTGGTCAACACAGCAAGGCCCCATCTCTAAAAAACAAATGATAATAATTTTTTTAAAAAGTAAACAGCACCAACAACTGGAAAATGGTATAGAAAATATAACCCAGTTTATAAAGAGAAAAAAAAGAAGGCATCACAAACAGTGATCTATATGTTTTGTGGCAGCAGCTGTTAGCATTGTTAGATGTTTAGAACACATATTCACCAAGATAGATAGTAATCCTGATGTTGGCCACATGATGTAGTGGTTAGAAGTGTGTTCCGTGGTACCACACTGCCCAGATTCAAATCCCAAATTAGACACATTGCTGTGTGACACAGACATGTCATCTACTATCCTTATGCCTTCATAGCTTCATCTGCAAAATGGAGACAATATTACTAACCACTTCTGAGGGGTTTCATGTGGATTAAATGACTTCTTATACACTGATATATGTCAAGTGCTTAAAATAGTGCCATTTGTGTGTGTGCATTATTAGACATTTAGAGACAGAGATACTAATATTTATTGAGATGGTTTGGATGTTTCTCCCCTCCAAATCTCATGTTGAAATGTAATCCCCAGTGTTGGAGGTGGGGCCTGGGTGTAGGTGTTTAAGTCACAGGGTTGGATCTCTTATGAATGGCTTAGTGCTGTCCTCACCATAATGGGTGAATTCTTGCTCTGAGCTCATGTAGAAGCTGGTTGTTTAAAAGACTGTGCCACCTCCCTCTCTCTCTTGCTCCTTCCCTTGCCATGTGATGTGCTGGATTCTCCTTTACCTTCTGCCACGATTGTAATCTTCCTGAGGCCCTCACCAGAAGCAGATGCCAGTACCATGCTTCCTGTACAGCCTACAGAATCGTGAGCCAAAATAAAACCTATTTTCTTTATAAATTACCCAGCCTCAGTTATTCCTTTATAGCAATGCAAAAATAGCCTCATGCATTTGTGAGGAACATTATGTCATTAATCAGTGAGCCATCCAATTAATCCACAAGTATTTACTGAACACCCATAATGTATTCGAGGTTTATAGAGATTTCAAGGTGGTGAAAGCACCACCTAAGAATCTGAAATCAGGCTTTTGGTTAGCTAATACAGCAAATATGACTCGAAGAAAATATTTGAAGTGATTCAAATGCAAAGAAAATATTTGAAGCTAATAGTGATGTGGAAATTCAAGAGGCTCTATCTGAAAAGCGTATTTTGTTCATTTAAAGATCATGTTTTATAATAGTAAGCTAGTTCTTGTTGACTCTAACATGACAAAATGTTTGACTATAATCATGACATTAGATGCATAGACTCATGTTGGCCCCCTGTGTAGCCCTAATAACCACTTTTTTCCCTCTAAATAAAACCAGCTTTGAGACTGTGATGCCCTATTTAAAGTTTATTTGCTGTTTCCATTATAAACTTTGCTATTCCAGATCATACCTTGTCACTTTTAATTTGCATCAAGATAAAATGTTAGTGTATGTTTGTCTGCTTCAATGTAAATTATTCTCTTTGAAAAAAATTTCCTGAAATAAGTAAAATGAAAAGCCTGTAGTCTTGAATACCTTTTGCAGAATTACAAATAAAAGAGCCACTCCTCCTTCTTGGCCTACAGTTTGACAATGTAGTAGATATAGTTAATTGTCTACAAATTTTTAATACAGTTATATAGTCATAAATCATTTTAATATAGATTCCAAAATGTCTAAATTTAAACATTATAAGAGGCTTAAGAATGGAAAAATTAATTTGGGGGGAGACATATAAATAAGTATAATAATAAAATTTACAATGTTTAGAGCACTGTGCCACCTGCCCCTCCTCCCACACACAGTTTATTTATTTATATTCTTATTAAACCCTTACAATAATCCTGGGAGGGAGTTGTTAAGATGACACTCCTAAGAAGAGGGAAACCCAGGATGGGAATCCAGTTCTGCTTAGCTCTGAAGGCTTGTTTTAATTAGTGGGAAACACTGATCATTTAGAAACATAGTATCTCCATGGATACATACTCTCTGCATACATACATACACACTGGGTGGTAGTATGGTATAGGGATTCAGCATGTAGAGGTTCTGGACTTAGGCTGCTTGAGAGAAATCTCACCTCCACCACTTACTAACTGTGTAATACTGGAAAAGTATTTAGAATGTGTCTGGCATATTGTAGGTGCCAAACAAATATTAACTCTTACTATTTTCAGAATACATGACATTTGGTTGGGGAGATCACCACAAAAAGGGAGAATGATAAGGGATTATGTCAGAGAAATGGGGAGGGGGTGCACAAATCTTGTAGGGCCTCTAAAGCCATTGTAAGGATTTTGGCCTTTACTCAATGTGTTCTGTAAAGACACTGGAAACTTCTAACAAGAGAAATGTTATGATTAAACTTAGGTTTTCATGATTGGCTGCTAGGTGGAAATAAACAGTAGAAGGGCAAGAGTAAAAGCAGTGAGAACCGTTAAGTAGCTATTTCTTCAAGGGAGAAATACCAGTGGTTTGAACTAGGATGATGTCAGTGGAGGGAGTTAGGAGAAAAATAGTTAGATGACAGAATAACAGGATTTGTTGATATACTGGACATGATAAAAGAGAACAGAAAAAATATCAAAAGAGATTCTCATGCTTTAGCCTCAGTACCTCAAAAAACAAGATTAAGTGCCTTTGATAATTGCATTTATTTTGGCTCTGTATACTAGTAAATGTACTAAAGATTAAATAAAGATAACCAATTGACTCTTCCAGACAAAGAGAACCAGAAAAAAAATCTTTTAATAAATCGTCTGGTGTTCTGATATCAGAATCTAACGATTCTGTCAATATGGGAACTGATAACTTGACAAGTCACACAAAGAGTGATAAGCATCCAGGACACATAGGTCATCATGAGGCATTCCTGGATCTATTATCTAAGTAGTCAATCTACTGAATTATCTCCACTCAAAGGCATAAGCATAAAATATTGTTGAATTTCCCTTCCACACTAGTTAAGTATTCTGGAAGGAGCCTATCATTTTCTCAGTTCTTTCTCCTCCCACATATTCAAAGTCCAGTCTAGACCAGTCTAAAATTCCCATCTCATATCTGGATCAAAACTTTCACCTCTTTCATTGACAGTCTGGCTCCAGGCAATGGTTTGTGGATGTGTGTGCCACTAGTAATTCACCCCGCAATCTTAGGGACACTTTCATGGCCTGGACACTAACAAGACAATGGAAACCTGTCTCCTTCCAAGCGTCTCTTAACCCAAAAGGAAATTTCTATACCCTTTCTAAACCTTAGCTATTTGTATCTCTGCACTGCTACTTCTCTTCAGTCCTCTTTTCTCCTGCTCAGGTAGGCTCAGAGCAGATTAACAAGTCCACTGACCAAGCAGGTGTCTGACTTAGGGACTGAGACGCCAGCCTTCCAGGTGCCTCAATCTCTAGCGAGCTTGTCCAACCTGCCTTATTTTGTTGTTGCTCTATTTTATTCTGTTTTAGGCTTTTAGCTTCTGAAGCCATGGTCTTTAGTTTCTGTCTCTAGTAGATAAGCAGAAAAGAGGGACGAGGAAGGAGATTTACTGACCCAACCAGAAACAGAAACTAAGAACCTATGACTATATTCTCACCCTTGGACACCTGAGGAGGATGATTCTCTTGGAATTTCCTCCCCCAGTTTGAACTTGTGGGGATCTTAATATTCTTGATGACCCAGGTGACCCCTTGATGCCTCCTCTGTCTATTTAGCCTGGGATGGTGCTGAGGTATTGGGTAGTGGATAGACAGATCAAAATTAGCCCACAGGTCTCTTAATAATAAATCCTGAGGGAGTGGTCTGGCCCTTACTGTTGTCAGCTCCCTTCAGCTCCCTTCGTGGGTTACATAACATCTCTTTGTCCTCAGCTCTAGGCCTAAATTAGCAGTTTAAGGTGTCACCCGAAATAACAGAGAGGGCCACTGTAAAAGAAAATGACATTGATTTTGGAATAGGGCATTGCAATGGGAATACATGTGCCACAGTAAACTATATGCATTGTCAGGGAGGTAAAGGAAGACGAAGGTTTTTAAAGGAAAAATGAGGAATATTACATAATTGGTTTGAAATAATTATCCTTGGCACAAGGATCAATAACAAGGGTGATGCCAGCCTGAGGTTGGACCAGCAGTTGCTGGGCAGATGTACTTAAGAAGTATTTATTGGGTAAATACTTCTTTTTGTTTGATGGCCTTTGTGCAAGGTTGCAGTTTTGTAGATTTTGGTGCTGATTTTTGTTATCAGGCGTTTATGCATGAGAACCCTTCTCTTCAAGGACTTATCTGGCTCTATTTGTCAGGTGTTCTTTCTTTTTTAATACAAATGAATCCATTTTGATTTTGACAACTTTCACAAAGGCAGGAAAAATCCCACTTATATCCAGGAAAGCATGCTTAAATTTTCTGAAACCTTCCCAAAGAGTGTTATTAAAACACAGCTACTCCAAAAGTGAGTGGGCAACTGATTTAGATATAGCCACTGCAGAAAGTGACTCGTTGAAAGTAATGTTGAAATCCGCTGTCAATACTCTTTGATCACATGCTCACATATACACTTACACCCACCATGCTCAGACAATTAGCGTTCAAGGCTGTGACAGAATGGAATAGTTCTGTTCCTCAGAACTGAGTCCAGAGAAGAAAATCAAAAATAGAAGAGTGAAAAAGTTTGCAAACTGATGAACTCTTGACACTACTTATTGGGTAAAACATGGTTACTAATTATCAGAATTTAGGAGGGGTTCCTTTGGTTGGCAGGCAGCCAGCATCGGAACTACAAGGAGTATAATCAGATGTATACTGTTCCTAGCATAAGCTACTCCTAGTGAATTTGTTCCCTTTCCACACATTACACTTAAAAAGTATTGTCTTATTGGGATAATTTTCTAATTACTTTTATTCTGATCAGTCACTTTCACTATGATTCTGATTGATCCATTCTCCATTGCCTGGTAGAAGCCTATTCTTAGGCAAATGAAGCATCTTTAGAAGTTGATTGGAGAAGTTGTTTAGAAAACAGAGTTCCAAAATGCTGAGGCAGAAGCGATTGGTCTTTTCTCCTCTCCACATAGGCTAAGTGTATGCCCATCCTGAGTAAGTGAAAAAGGAGGCTTTTAAAAAATTATTTTGTTTGTTTGAATAGGTAGTTCCTGACAGTGTTTCCTAGAAATGATGGGCCTCCAAGTAGCCATTGTTTAACATGACACATTTTAACGGATAAACAATCACAAATGCCAAATACTTCTTTCCTACAATATACATCTCCAGAAAAGTCTGATCATGTATCTAAAATAATTAGATTTTGTTCAGTAATCAAACTCAATCAAATGAATTCTGTGTGAACTACTTTTATTCCCACGATGAGAAATGTGTGTCATATCCTCTGTAAATTTGCATATTTTTCCATAAACCTAAAACCAATCAATTTTGAAGAGTTATGATAATATAAAGAATCTGAGGCAATTACAGTCTTTTAAACACGGATTCTAAATGCATTTCACTGCTGGTATTCATGTAGTAAAATAGTCAAAACTTCTTTAACCCTTTTCGTGACATCTCAATTAAGCTGTAATGATTGAGACTTGGGACATTTCCGAGGATTAATGACTGGCTAGGAAAGTGGATGGCTTGAGGTGAAGCCAAGGGCCATTAATTCCCTCTGGTCATTAATCCCCAAGGAAATTTCCTAGGCTGGTTTGATGTTAGCATTACAGGCTGCAAATACATTGCTGGGTTTCCTGATTGGTTTTAACATAGTTTATTAAGATGTCATATTTTAATTTGTGACCCGTATACCTAACATTTCCAAATTTTCATTCCCCGTTTCTCATCCCACATTGTTGATTGCAACATAATAAAAATGGATTCCTTGGTCGTATCGCACATTTCCTTTAAATGGTCAAAACATGTTAAAGTTGTTTCCAATACAGAAGCCCCAAATGGCTATTTGTCTTTGTGGTGTTATTTTTTAGTGAAAATTTTGGCCTTGACAGTGGGTGGTATTTTATTCAGTTATATATGTGTGGTATGTTCTACCTGGTATTGTCTAAATTCATAAAAAGTGTTGAAACCTACCCTTAATTTTGCCTGATGTCCAATGCAGATAAATCTGCCCTTAATCTCCAAACAGGGGCTTACCACAGTGGCTCATGCCTGTAATCACAGCACTTTGGGAGGCTGAGGTTGGTGGATCACTTGAGGCCAGGAGTTCAAGACCAGCCTGGCCGAAATGGCAAAACCCCATCTATACTAAAAATACAAAAATCAGCCAAGCATGACATGCCTGTAATCCCAGCTACTTGGCTGGCTGAGGCACGAGAATCGCTTGAATCTGGGAGGCAAAGGTTGCAGTGAGCTGAGATCATGCCACTGTACTCCAGCCTGGGCAACAGAGCAAGACTCTGTCATTCATATATATATATATATATATACATACATATATATACACACACACAAACACACACACACACACACACACACGACTCCTTCATATGTATATATATGTATATTTGGAGAGATATATATATCTCCAAATACAATATTCACATCTTTATCTTTTGTTATAAAATAATCAACATTCGGTAAAAAAAATCATATTTTTTGGGAATTGCCTGAAATTTGTATGGCCTCCATCCCTCTAGACATTCAACTTTATCTTTAAATTAACTGGCCACTTTTTTTTAAAAGTTTGAAATAGAATTGTTTTTGTGGAAATGTACTTGGGGGTTACATCTGTATTAAATGTGAAAAAGTCTATTTTTTAGAAAATCTAACAGAACTTACTGTTCTTACCACAAATATGTTGTTAGATATTGCTTATTATATCAAAGTGTCCTCTTATGAAGTCCAGGAGAGACATTTCTTAGAAATAGTTGGGATTAAACTAAGAATCTGGTCCCATTTTACCCTGTAAACACTATGAATCTTGCAACTGATGTTATTTCACTTGTTTGCTCAGAAGCACAAAGTCAAGTTTGCAAGCCATCTCTGGCAAAGTTCTTAGAAGCAATATTTAGAATATAATCTTTACTTTTGAATTTGTTTTTCTCTCGTCTACCCTAATTTATCTTCCTCATTTATTCACCATCAAGTTCAGAATATGCATCTTTATCAGCTCCTGCTATTGTGTTTGGAATGAGGTAGGATATAATTAACTAGTTAATCAATTAATTGTTAGCTACATTGAGAGACTTGTTTTTTCCTCCTCTTTGGTCCAACATTCACTTCTATTTATCCCTCACATCTAGTTATGTCTTCTTGTAACATGGTTTCCCCTCGTCCATCTGCTTCAGGCTGCCTGTCAGGACAAATCAGATGAAAGTCACAATCCCACACCACCTGAAACTGGAAGTCCCAAAGGTCTTTCCCAGTTTGGTTAGCAGCATTGTTATATAAATATTCTTGTCCCTTACCCTGAATTACACTTAACCTCTGAAAGGTAGTTTTTGAAATTAAAAGTTGTTTCTCTTTCTCCAAATAAATCTCTGTTACTTCTTCTATCTTAGAATATCGACCTTAGATTGTAAATTTCCAAAGCCTCTACCTGATAACGTACAAGATATCAAGTGTAAATAGCTGCTTAAGTTCTACCTTTGTTAAAACTTCAGTGGAAAGTGACTCAGTGGAAATAAAGGACCATAGTAAAAATAAGTTAAGATGACTAGATCTCCCCCAGCACAATGACTCCTTCAGGAGCAATATGTAGAATCAGCCTTGGCAAAAGAACATTAATATGTAAAGGATAAAAAGGAATATCTACCCCTCTATCTGTCTGACTGTACTTATCTTTCCCTATCTTTATATTAGATGATCGCCATGAAATCCTTAAATCAATTGAAGGTCTGTATAGGAAGTGTAACGTGGGCTTATTGATCTGAGCTGCGAAATGACAACACAGGTCCATATTCTGTCCTCAGATCAATGCCGCATGTGTGTGTGTTCCTGAAGCACATGGTATATGCTGTGTCTGTCTGGCAGAAACATTTGTGCTTAAAATACAGCCTGACAGTTCCCTGCCATCTTGCAAAACAGTGTGGCTTATTTAGAACAAATCTGTTATGACTGACCACAGAAAGATGCATGTGTGTTTCTGAGCCTCTCCCTATGAATAGGCAAAAGGACCATCTGGGCACGTGGCATTTACACATCTTTGAGCAAAGTTAGCATTCCGCCTCCCAGTAAAATCCATCTCTCAGGGACTCTGTGGGTTTGTGATGCTTCCTACAGAATGGAGGAGGAAAACAAATGCACTTCAGTAAAACAGAAGTATCTTTTTTTTTCATCTGTCATAGCCACAGTTTGATAGTATCTGTATTTCATTTTCACTTCAGAATATCACAAGAGAGAGAAATGGCAGGAAGCAAGTTGCTTCCACATGGTTGTGAAAAGGAGTTGTTATATTTGGTTGCTCTCTGTGGCACATCTCTGTGAAATTAAAAAAAAAAAAAAAATCTAGCTACCATCCTGGTGGTTGAAAAAAAGTACTGTCCTTATCTTTTCCTAAGAAGAATTATTTGCTATAATAATAGAATGATCATAATGGCATTCCCTTTTTGTCTATCTTTATTTAAAAATTGATTTGATTTATACTTCAGACAAAATACTTAGCCTGATGTGTTTATCTTAAAATATGCATTTTAACAGGCAATCTAGAAAACTCAGAGAAACATGAATTAAGACGGACTTAATTATTTTGTCACTTATTTTGATTAAGTTATTAATCAAAAATTTGGTTGGTCATAAAGTAGCATGATGTTTTTAAAGAAAATTCACCAGAATTTATATAGCCAAACAGTTTACTGTCTACTGCTAAAAATGACCATTTTTGTTACTCAGAACATTTTTTATTTCCTATTTGTAAAATAGCTTTTATAATATTTGGTTTATTATTTTCACTATACTTGATGGAAACATGTCTTTCATCCTTGACTAATAAATTCATTTTAACCCAGAGTGAAACTTAGGCAAGTATTGTTAATCAGAAAGTGATCAACTGAGAGCTAACCTATTTGGTGGAAGGGGCTACATCACTATAACACAATAAGGTGATCTCAAATGTCCTTTCCACTCTAAAATTCTACATGACTTTCCTTCTCTGACATCTTTTGCAATGTGTAAATTCAGGGGACATCTCCAAAAGAAAGGTATCAAAATGTTTTGGAGAGATGGCAACATTGTTAAATTTCATGAACAACTTCATGAGGGCACCATTTTGAGAGACAATGATGTGTTGTTACTTATTATTCTGGACAAAAATTGTCAGTCACATATTTTGCTTAAGCTTCAATTGTTTCCCTTCTGTCAAGTGAAATACTGAATGTGTTAAGTTGTTGCCAAATCTTACAACTTTTAATTCAAGTCAACTTCCTCTTCCTCTCCCTCTTTTCTCTTTGTTTCTGTGGTCTCTGCAATGTTCTAGGTCAGGGGTTGGAAATTTTGGGGAACCAGATAGTAAATATTTTAGGTTTTGTGAACCAAGAGGCAAAATTGAGGGTATAATGCATGTACTTATATAACAAGAGAGAAAACCCCTCTCCATCCTGCCCTGTTTGTCTGGGGTGGATATTCTGGGAAGCAGGGACACTCTGCAGCCAGTTGCTATCTAAAGAAGACTTTCTCAGGGCAAGTATGCACTAGACAGATAGGGAGGGGTCCAGCAGGCAGTGGAATAGGTGGCTGCCATATTTGGTCTCTGTCTGCCCCAGTGACACCCAGAGCTAGCATGGCCATTTCAACTTGGGCAGCTGCTCAGAGGTAAGGTGATTCACTAGACTGGTATTCTACCATTTGGTGCCCACCAGTTGCCAACAGGGGAGCCCCCAACCTGCACTGACCCTGGGCAGGGCATGGGGTGACTGGGGAGGCAGTTTCTGGGTGTGGAGGGAAAATGGGGAAGGAAATCCTTGGACCCCTATCTCTCTCTGGCCCAGTGGTCTCCATGGCTTGTTGAGCTAGCTTGCTGGAGTAGTGCCCATGGACAGTACAAAACCAGCAGCCAGCTAGATTTGGCCATCTCATGATTTAGCACCCTTTAATGTAGTTATCACTTGTCAAGAAAGTTGGTACCTCTCCTCTAACATCTCTGTTTTACTATCTCCTTTACTATTCTAAGAAGAGGCCATATCTCTGAACAGTAATTGTCCCTGTGGCAAATCGATACAGGCGTAAAAAGATCTTACCACCATCCTCAGGAACCTGTTTGGGGTTTTAGTTGCCATTTCTTCCAATAAATTATTTTTAAGTCTATCCGCAATCTTTCCTTTACCAGTTCCTCATGTTCATCCTTAATGCAGCATAAAAATTAAAAGCTCTCCACCCAATTCCTTTGGAGTCTAAGTGGCTTAGATTCCTAACAGAGTCCAAGTGGCTTCTTAGGTGGTTCTGCATTCCTTTTCCTAGAGGCTAAATAGCACTGTGGTTTAGAGCAAGGATCAGCCAACTACAGCTTATGGGCCCAGACCAGAGCTTCTCTTCCCGTTTTTGTATGGTTCATAAACTAAGAATGATTTTTACATTTTTAAATGGTTAGAGAGAAAAATCAAAAAAGAATACTATTTTGTGACACATGAAAATTATATGAAATTCAAATTATAGTGTCCATAAATAAAGTTTTATTGGAACACAGCCATGCTCATTCATTTACATATTGTCTATGGCTATGTTGTGCTAAATGGCAGAGTTGAGTAATTGTGACAGAGACCGTATGGCCTGCAAAGCCTGAAATATTTACTATTTGGCCCTTTACAGAAAAAAAAATTTGCTGACCCCTAGTGTAGATTATGGGCTCTAAAATCAGACTGTGTTCAAATCTCTCCTCCCCATTTTTAGTAGTTGCATCCTCTTGGATAATTTATTTAACTTCTCCTTGCATCAAGTTTCTTGATTTATAAAACAGAGATAAGATAACATCTACTTTATACATTGATGTGAAGAATCAATGTATTCTTCTATGTAAGCAACTTACACCAGGGCCTGGCACATAATAAGCATTTAATAAATGTAAGCTACTTGTGTTTTTCTGAATTTGAATTTTATTTGTAGAAAATGCATAATAATGAAATCAATATGGTCTTTCCACCTGTAAGAAGCAATCCAATGGCAAAGATTTTGAATTTTCACATGGAGTGCTTTGGCATTTTATACATTAATAAAAAACCCTTAGTTGGCACTATATATTGTGTACAGGAACACGGAATACATCATGACTCCTATCAGCTGTCAGTCTACTGAGGGAACAAACCTCAAACACATGAAACAGGAACATCCTTAAAAAGATTACTTTCTCTACCAAAAAAATTAGAACACATACATTTTCCCTATTTCAATAGCAACTCAATGTATTGAATTATCTTGAAAGGCTCTATTTATTGAGCCTGATAAGAGTGCTGAGCTACAATTCATCTTTAGGACCTGCTATTCTTTCCCTTATCAACATGCTTGCCACCTATAACCTAATGTTCATTAGTCCCACCCATGGGGTAGAATAATGGCTGAATAATGAATTGTAAATTAGCTTTTTGTTCTTCTCACTGACATCAGTGATTATAAATAGACTTGAAATTTCCCAAGGCATTTTAAATGGAAAACATTGTTAGTACATAAATTGTAAAGCTCTTAATCAAGGAAACCTGTTATAAACTTGAAGTTAACAATTACAGACTTTCCCAATAAGAGAAACATGACCATTTCATTAATTCAACAACTATTTACTGCATACTACATAGTACCCAGAGCTATGAACAGATAGCCAACATTCCCATGGAACTGGAACTCTTGGCATTCCAGAAGGGTACTAAATGATTCTGACTTACCCCCCTCAAAGCTTCTTCCTTTCATTCCATCCTGCCAAGAATTGCAGGCCAATTTTCCCACTTTTGTCAACACATTTTCCTCTTCAAAAAGCTTTGTCTCTCATTGTGCATCAGATCAAGTGCAAACTCCTTAGCATGGCATTTAGAGCCTTTTATGATCTGACCCAAGTCTATCTCTCTACGTTTCCTCTTGTTACTGCATTTCCACACTCTCATTCTTAAACTCCCTGCTTCTGTCAACCTCACCTACTTTGTGTCTTTTGCTTCTCCACCTCTGAGTCATCAAAAAGACTACTTCAAAAGCACTTTGGGAGGCCGACGCGGGTGGATCTCCTGAGGTTAGGAGTTAGAGACCAGCCTGGCCAACATGGTGAAACTCCATCTCTACTAAAAATACAAAAAGTAGCTGGGTGTGGCAGCATACACCTGTAATCCCAGCTACCCAGGAGGCTGAGGCAAGAGACTCGCTTGAACCAAGGAGGCGGAGGTTGCAGTGTGTCAGGATCACATCATTGCACTCCAGCCTGGGTTACAAGAGTGTGAAACTCTGCCTAAAAACAAAAACAAACAAACAAACAAAGGATATGAAATGAACATTGGCTGGTGTCGATGGAAAACTCAATTTTAAATTTTGACTATATGAGCAAAGTATAAATGGGATTTATACTTTCCCTTAGATACATTTTTGTCCCCTCTCAAGCATGATGCTTGACTCTTTAACCATAGTATTACAAGACTACGTCTTAGTCAAATGCTTCACACTGACTCCCATAACTGTTTCTGCCATAACAGAAATATTTTTTTCTTCCTTTGCTTAATTTCCAAACTCTCATGGTGTTACCATAGTTCAAATTTACTGGAAGACTTCAAAAATCAAATTCTGTCAGACTAGAAGCTTCATGAGGACAAAGGCATGTGACAACCTTGTCAAGGGTTTTATCTCCAATAGAAAGTTGTCAATAAACATTTTTATTAAATTAATAAATCCTACCTTATCTCTTAAAGGTTTTAATATTCTTCATCTCTGAGAGGTCTGAGAAAAAATTAAAATTAAAAGAAGTTTTTAATGCTCTTTTCGCAATTTTTATTAATCAAATATTTATTTAATATCTATTTTGCATCGGTCCAGTACTGTGCTAATCTACAATAATGCAAAGATAAAAAACACTGAAAGAATTAACACAATATATTTTTCTAAAGCTAAAGAGAGTATAAACATTTTCCCATTTTTGATAGAATTTTATTTGAACCTTCATGATAATGTTAAATAGAACCCTTTGCACTATATATATATATTTTTTCTTCTTTCTTTTCTTTTTCTTTTTTTTTTTTTTGAGATGGAGTCTTGCCCTGTCACCAGGCTGGAGTGCAGTGGCGCGATCTTGGCTCACTGCAACCTCTACCTCCCGGGTTCAGGTGATTCTCCTGCTTTAGCCTCCCAAGTAGCTAGGATTACAGGCATGACATGCCCAGTTAATTTTTGTATTTTTAGCAGAGATGGGGTTTCACCATGTTGGCCAGGATGGTCTCGATCTCTTGACCTCGTGATCCCACCACCTCAGCCTCCGAAAGTGCTGGGATTACAGGGGTGAGCCACCGCACCCGGCCGATATTTTTAAATATATGTAAATTATTCCACCCATAACACTATAAATATTTGGAGGTCAGGGACCAATCCGTGTCACCTTTGAATTACCTACAGTTCTTAGACAGTACTTTGTGTGTAGTCAATACTAAATAAAAAGCTGTTTTGTTGAATGGAACAATTTAGACAATAAAAAATAATTCACAGATGAACAGCCCTTACATCATAACTGCATAATGCCACTTAGCAAACCTCACACTTGATAGTCATATATACAAGTTCAGCTTTTATCTGTGATTTAAGATTTCTATTTTTGTTGTTACTTTACTTAAAGAGTGAAAGCTTTGCCTTCAAAACCCAAGATTCCATTCCTGGGTAGTCTTGTCAGTGAACAAACCCTTATCCACAACACACAACATATAATTCTCCATTACTGAAGCCCTAACCTGTATTTTATTGGAAGCTAATTCCAGAGAACAGTGTTTCTGTCTCACTCTTCACCATTTTGGTTACAGCTTATCTTTTTTCTAATTCATTCACTAAGTAATGATTTATAGAACAGACCTTAACTCAGTCATATTGATCTGCCTCTTGTGGTTATTATGATGGAGTCAAATTTTACTGCATTTTCAGGATTAAGATTCTATGTAGCCCTATCAAGTTTCCAAGCAATACTTTCACTGGCTTTTGATTCAGTGTAATTTTCTTTTTTTACAGCAGTGGTCTTACATGTTTAAAAGAGAAATAGGATGTCTAGGGAGTGACATTTTAAGTAAATGAAGGCCCTTATTAGAAATAAAAACAACTGTGTCAGTCTAAGTTGATACATCGGTTGCACTTCTGGATGTGATCATAATTCATATTTTTAAATAATGATTTTATATTAGCGTGTCCTGGCATTTAAAAGCAGGTTAGGTGGTACATATGAATTTGCATATAAACAAAAAATTAACACAGAGCTAAGCTTGTTTCATTGTGATTTTATTTTAATGAACTATAGTAAACTTTTAATTTGGGAAAAATATCTCTACAAATCGTCAGTCTCTGAATCAGGTCTCTACACTGGCAGTCATCTCTAACAAAGATTATCCTCATACTGTCCTAAAGTAGTGGATATTATTAGAGAAAAATCTCATTTTCGAACTGCTTCACTTAAAAATATCTTTATATGCCTCCCCTCTTTAGTCTCAGACTTGTCCCTCCTGTTTTCAAGGGTTATCCTGTTCACCTGTGTTCTTACTCTCATTCCCTTTTGTCAGTTTCTCCCCTTTCAATTTTCTCATCTCTGCTTTGTCATCAAGCTCTCCTTGTCTAGGGAAACCACTATTTTGCTAATAAATTTATATACAGATTTTGTAATCCAACAAAGTCTCTCTTATAATTTATTGTCTCTCATCGACAAGTTCTGTTTCTTAATTTCTTTCTATTGCCAGATTCTAAAATAAACTGATGTGACTGCCCCCATTTTTATATACCTAATATCCTTCTAATCTTATGCATATTCACCAAATTTTTATTATGCTCCTAAAATTGCACTCTTGAAGATTTCATTGTCTTGGTGATCTACTAGTGATCAAATTAAAATCACTTATCAGGCTTTGTCATCCTCCATCTTTCTGGAATTTCTAGAAGACTTGATTATAACCAATATCTCCTTTTTTGAACATTTCCCATATCTGATTACAATTTTCTATATTTACATTGGCTTCTCCTCCTATCGACATTCACTAGAAGCAAAGTATCTTCAACCTTTTGCTGTACACTTATTTTTCTTGCTTATGATTTGCAACTATTCTTCCATACCTTTATTATGTGTATGCTGTTAATGTAAAAAATGAGCTATTAGGAAGGAAACTAATAATTGTGAGTTTCTCCTTTAACTCCCAAATCAAGGAAAGAGCTTTCTGGAGTTTCTGTAAGAACTATCTTCCTTGGCCTTTAGAGAAATGGAGAATAAAGAAGCTTTCGTGTTTCAGGCTCACAAAGAAGAGATTTTTGAGAGGGAAAAACAGATGGAGCAGGATCTGACCAGAAGTAAGTTGAAGCATCTCAAATCAGACAAGGGTGGCACAGCTCATTCTCTGATTCCAGGCAGCAAACCTCCCTGGCCCACTCTGGGTAGATAGCCTGATATTTAGGACGACATCTCTGAGTACATTTATGTTGCGGGTACCAGGGCTCAAAAGCAGCATCACATACTCAAAAAAAAGCAACCCTAAAAATACAGACTCTCAAACTAAGAGCCTGGTCTTTCACAAGGTTTCCAGCCCAAAATAAGCTCAGGTTTCTTTTATAACTCTATTGAAGGAAGAGAGAGGTTGGGAACCAACAATAATAATTGAAGTTGAGTCTTCTGCCAGCCAGAACCAGACAGGTAAGGAATGGGAAAAGACTAAATTTCATTTAGAGAGATACATATGTTGAATCTTCGGGCAATGTTAATACTCCATATTTATATCATCTGTTTTGACCTTTCTCCTGAATTTCAGTTATGACTGCAGAATCTATATTTTTATCTTGGATGCTGCATTCTGACCTCTAAATCAATTTATCTAACAATTGGGGTAAAATTTAGGTTGTAAATAACCCTGCAAACAACATGCTTATGACAATGTCTTTCTTTTAGATTATTTCCATGAGATAAATTCCCAGAAGTGGGCCCACTAGTTCAGGATCAGAGTCAGAAAGTAGACAAGAATTCAACAGGGAACTTGCAGAGAAAGCCAGAATTGTTTATTGTAATGAATATAAAAGCAGCCTTTAGGATAGACATCTATTACGTTGTTCTCTCCTCTGTTTTTATACTCTCTCAAAAACATCAGCCATCTATTTGCTCTACTGAAGAGATCTCAAAAGGTTTTCTCACCTATTGACACTTTTGGGGAGTTAAGGGAGGTATTCCATGCATTATGGAATGTTCAGCAGCATCTCCAGTCTCTCTCTACCTGCTAGATGCCAGTAGGAAACATCTCTCTTCCTATGTGTAACAATCTAAAATTTCTCCAGACATTGCCAAATGTCCCTTGGGAGGAGAACCACTATACTACATTAGGTTACAAATTTCTTTAAATTGACCATTTTGACACAAATGATATTTTGTCACAGGTACTTTATTTAGTCTCTTTTGATATATGACACTTTGATGCAGCATGAAAAGCTCAATCATAAAACTTGAATTTAAAAAAACATGAAATATTGGTACCAAATATTTTTATATCCTAGAACCTCATTAGAAACCTCATTCCATCCCTAATCTCATGCTTCACTGAGTCTCGCTTCATCAAAGATGAAGTAACTCCCAGGTATGAGATGTTGTTCATTATCTATATACACAAAAAAGTGTATGATGCAACCTTATCAAAATATCCTGGTTAACTAAATTGTCTCTCTGTCTCTCCCATCTCTCTTCCTTTTTTATTCTGCCTGTGGCATAATCATCTATTTCATGCTATCAGATTATTTGGGATGCCCATTTGTGTTAGATAAGTGGGGTAGCAAGGGAGATGTATATACGTTAATCATTGGTTAAAGGAACTTGAAATAAGCTGACTATTCACCATGACGGTGAGTTAGCAAGAGTGACCCATGGACTAGTGTGAGATAAGGTATAGGTCAAAGATCTCTTTAGTAGAGCAAATAGATGGCTAGAAATTTTCTTCAGTGATCTAAAAGGTTGAAATGTTAGGAAATATTTTATAGGTTCGAAGACTATGCAAACTTAAAGAGTTAAAAGTAACAAGAATCTCTGAGCCTAGAATCATTTCCAGAGATGAAATGATATGTAACCAGTGCTAGTTATTTAAGTTCAGACTCTATGATGGCCAGTAAGTTTCTTTGTTTTATTTTTCCTACAGGTAAAACTCTAAGTTATTTGGGTAAAATGGAAAATGGCATAAAGGGATTTGGTACAAGGGACCCTGGATTCTCTTGAGGTTCTGCTGCAGATTTTTCTCAATTGCTACAATGCTTGAGCCTTGGTTTTGGCACCCCTCCTTCCTCCCTCAAATGGGCAGTGTGAAAATCACCATCATTATCATTAAAGAAAGGGAGGCACCTAGAAAGAAGTCAGCCCTTAAATATAACTGCTTAAATGCTAACCAGCTTTGTGGAGTTTGTTTGAGATGAATGACTATTTTCAGATTGCATTTCAGCCATTTATATTACAATGCTGTATCAGTGCAAAATAACAGAGTTGCTGTGAGCTGCCACCCAGCTGCTCATTTCCCTGTCAGAAGCTGTTTCTTTTCAGAGGTAATCTGGTAAGAGGCAACTTGCCACCTGAAAGAATATTGGTGGATGTCAAAAAGAAAGACACTCTACACACACACACACACACACACACACACACACACACACACACTAACACACACAGAGCAAGAGAGAGAGAGAGACTATTACTAAAAAAGTATTTAATAATAAGAATGCAAGTTGATGTAAAACCCTATGTAAAAGTTTTGGATCAAACTGTAGAAGATTGAAATGTTTAGAGGTCTTGAAAATAAATTGTATTGACTTTTTAGCAACAATAATGATTTAATTCCAAGGATGTTTAACACTATCAGCAAAATTTTAAATGAGAGCTTCTCATGTATTAGGACTTGATTTTGCTCATCTTTGAATCCCTAAGACCTATAACAGGGTCATGAATAGGAGAGGTATTCAATGCACTTTCATTATATTAAATACCATCGGATCATTCTCAAATAGATAACCTACAAGTTTTTTCATTTGAATGCTTTATCTTACAGCTTCCCCTACCTGCTGCAGTCTGACTGTCCCTCTGCCCTCTCAAATTCAGCGTGAACTCATTACATATCTCCCACGCTGGTTCCTTTTTCAGATGCCTGTAATTTTATGGCAAATCTGTTTACCCAATTAACCAGGAACAAAATCTCAGTTGACTTTAAATTTTCATGGCTAGTCACTTTGTCTTGTTTATTCCTCTTCTAAAATCACTCTCAAATCTGTTCCTGGTTATCTGTTTCTACCACAGTACCATCCTAACTATGGTATTGCAAGTTCACAGGCCTCTGGTCTCTAATCACTCAAAGTAAGACCCTGAGAAGGCCACTTAGTTTTTGTGCCTCAGTTTCTCTTCTGAAAAGTGAAGGTGTTGCACCAGACCATGTTTTACAAACAGCTGGTCCAACCTTTAGAAAATCTTAAAATAAATACAATGTGTTCCCACCAGCATTTTCTAAAATGTAAAAAGAATAGAGCTAAAAATGCCAAATGTCATCATAAATACTAAGGATAAACATTCCTATTAAACATTTTTGGGTGTGTATGTGTGTAAAACACATTTCTTACTATGGCTCACAGTTAAAACAATTTTTAAAAAGCCAGGAAGTCACTGCATAATCTTAAAGTCCTTGCATGTATAAATGATATGATTTTATTCTGGGTCCTTACTGTTTCATGCATAGATTATTTCAATAGCTTTCTAACTATTCTCTCTGTGCAGAATTTCTTCTCCTTCTTCCAGTTCATCAGGTACACTACTGGCAGGCTGATCTTAAGTAGCTCCTTCCAAGTGTAATTCCCTGGCTCAAAACCCTTAAATTATTCCCTTTTGGAAGGAAGTCCCCATATTTAGTTTAGAATCACAAGTTTCCCCTTAGTCTGGCTCTACCCTACTTTTATAACTTAATCTTCTTCCTTTGTCCTATATGACCTCTGGATTTCAATCTAACAGACACATTTGATTGACTGACTTAACATCTTCTGAACATTCTTTTCAAATTACTGCCCCTAAAACTTGGCCCACCCATTTTCCCAGTTTGGAATACTTTGCCCCCTTTCTCCATGGATTCTAAGGTCATTTTTTCAGAAAAGCTCATTCCTTCAAGTTAAAAAAAAAAAAAAAAAGCTTGGTAATATTTTGATCAGACCGATTTTGATGACTCTTCAATTTAAATAGAACTGAGAGCTTTAATGTATTGAATCTTCTTACTTTCAGACAATATGGCTTTCTAGTTGTTCAAGCTTTCTTTTGTGTCCCTAGGTAATGTTCTAAAGTTTTCTTTACATGTATTCTACGAAATTACTTCGTACATGGTAAACATTTAATAATGGCAACGTTATTTACTTCAATGATGAATTAGTACCTACTTTGGTGGAGAAGGAGCCAGTGCTGTTCATTTTAATTCATTCAACTTAACAGTAAAATAGAAAGTTTTTAAAAAATTTAAATGAAGATGATTTGTTGTACAATTTATAAATACTTTAAAAACAGGAAACAACTTTGGATGTAGAATCCTGAGAATTGGAGCTAATTTCTGCTACTCCCTGCTAGTACTTTAAAAGAGAGAGAGAGAAAAAAAAACTTGGTAAAAACAAGTAGAAAATCTAAGTAACTAAAATTTCCCTATGCTGCCACTGACTTATTCTTTATCAGTTTTATTATTTATAACTCTTTACTCTGACTTTCTTTTCTTTCTATACATTTAAAATATTTTTAGCCCTATTAATATTCACCTACTCTTCACTACTCACTGCTAAACTGAAGGAAAGCTTCTCTATCACGTAAAGAGTAGGCTTTATATTCCTTAAAAGATAGATAAGATGACCAGAAAGAAGGCTGATGATGATTTGGTGATCGCCTCAATAAGTAGCAACTCTTCCCCACCTGGGTCAAGAGAAGTTTAAAAATAAAATGAAGAGCAATAAAGGGAGCCTAGATATTAAGCTTGCTCTGGATCGAGGCAAGTTGAATGGCTTTTTTGGAGCTTCAGTTTAGTTTGGAGTGAGACTAAGATAACTTTTATTTTTCCAGCTTTCCCTAAATTTATTATCTGCTTCCCCTTATCATTAAAAAAAAAAAAAAGGAAAAGACTATAGCATTATCACCGCAGTTGACATACCGGAAGATCATCTGGGAGGTCTTTCCAACTCTTGTATCTTGTGGTTGTAAAATCCTTTATCATCTTATTGCATAAAAATAACACATAAATGTTATAGACCATAAAGCTTTGAAGTGTGGTTGTAAATTATATAAGCATATCTGCACATATACATATTCATGTTGTGATGCATTTCAAACAATGAAAAAATATTCTTTGCTCCATTGCTGCAGTAAGTTTATTTTCTAAAATACGTTCTGGAGACATCTGCAGTGTCTCCTCTCCTTGCAAATGACTAATGTGAGAAGGGAACTTTGGAAATTACATTGCAATGTAATCATCCATATTGTGTATTGTGGATAAAATTGATTAGAATAATATTGAAACTCCCCCAAGGGACTCTACAATTATAAGTCAAGTCCCAAATGGAAAAGCTTTTTTGAAAAGTTGGCAGATGTCTTAATGAAAATGAAGCATTACAGTAATATATTAGGGCAATTTGTTCATTATTGACAAGCAAATCACTAAACTATATAAATTACTGAATTGGACAGGCAGAATTACTTTTCTTTCAGTGAATGGTTAATCAAATATTACTTTTAAACGTTCATTTGTTTAAATTTTTGATATGCATATTAGTAGACAAATGATTGCCCTTACAGCTGCAAGTCAGCTTTAGATGTAAAAAATTCAAATATTTGAATTTATGTCTATTAGAAACCAAATTCAACCTCAAGACTGAAGTCCACCATTCATAATTCACAGTAGAATATATAAAATCACCAAGATTTTTTATTATCCTTAATAAACCTGTTTACTTTGCATTTCTGTTTCCCTTTTTTCCTGTTTTTGCTTTTAAACAGCCTTTCATGAAAGAACAACATTAAAATAAATCTTTGAGGAACAGATAGAGCTATTTAACAAGGGTGGCAGTTATATATCACCATTCCACCATGTCAAGGATTTGTAATGATATAAAAGTCTGTTTCTGCATTTGTTTCCAAGGACTTGACCAAGCACAGAAACTCCTGCAACTAGGACAGATTTATTCTAATAGATTTTTGTTCCAAGAACAGGAATCTTTCTGTTTGATATTGTACATGAATATTAAATAAACTACCTGCTGGCAACTACATAATATTTTAGTCTCTAATTTTAAAAGTACACTGTATTTTAATACCTATTTTTAAACAGATATCAATTTTTATGGAGCAGTACATGAGTTGTTGATGGATAAACCACCCAAGCATGGTTAAAGAGAGCCTAATCTCCAGCTGGTACCAGATCCATTTAATTGTATCTTCTGACCTCACCTCACCTGAGCCTGCATTAAAATCATAATACAGTTCAAGTGTAAAAATGATATACTGTTTGTTCGCCCTGTTTATAGAGGGGCAAACATACAGTTAAATTCATATATTTAAAATTAGTGTAGTCATTTGAAAAGGTTGAGTTAGAGCAAACTGCCTCTCAGCGTTTTCTCTGCCCTTTTTTTATTTAAATGACTAGGCTTCCATTGCCAGATGAGAGAGGCTGTTAAGAAAGTTGTAGCAGCTTTTCCTGGCCACCCAGAAGATTGCTCCATCAAACAGAGAGCTATCAAGCATCATTTAATAATGGAACAGTCCATTTTTTTTAAAAAAAATGCATTCAGCTGGTGATAGGATAGAAACTTTTGGATGTTCTAAATCCTTGATAAATGTGGTAATATCTCAGAATGGCCTAAACAGCAGACCTTGAGTTTATCTGCATTTTCATTAGGGTAAAATGTTGTCCTTAGATTCTTGTGGCAGTTTTATTTTCATAAATTACAGTACCTAGGTTTTTCTGTTTTAAGAGCCAGGACTTTTTAAAAATGCTACTCCAGCCAGACTTATATTGATCTTAATAATGTTTCTAAAAGCTGCATTGACAAAGTTGAAACTAGCATTGCTTTTGGATTCTGACTCAAAGAAACGATTAGCTAATATTCAGTACAACTAACATTTATGAAGAGCTTCCTATATGCCAGACAGCCTTGGTAGTGAGTCCCCACAAAATGTAATGCATTGGAGGGTATAGGGCTCCCATGTATAAGGACCTTGTCTTTTTTATTCACTTTTTAAATCTCCATCACCTAAAAGAGTGCCTAAGAGAAAGCAAATTCCCAATGAGTAAGTATAGAATGAATCAATGAATATTGTTATCTTATTGATTTTCTATAACTACCCTACACAACAGGAAATATATGTTTATCCCCATTTTACAAATGAGGAGCATATCTACTTAACAGCAGAGACAAAGTTTGGACATATATCTGTCTGATTCTGAAGTCTTTGCTCTTAAATGCTATAATAGCCCTGCCATGGTGTGCATTAGGGTCCTCCAGAGAAATAGAACCAATCAGAGATAGATAGATAGATAGATAGATGATTTATTAGGGCAATTGACTCATGCACTAATGGAAGCTAAGAAGTCCTGTGATAGGCCATCTACAAGTAAGAGAACCGGGGAAGCCAGTAGTGTGCCTCAGAACCAGAGGGGCTACTAGTATACCTTTCAGTCCAAGGCCAAAGGCCTAAAAAATTGAGGGGCTGCTGGTGCAAGTCCTGGAGTCCAAAGGCCAGAGAATCTGGAGTTCTGATGTCCAAAGGCAGAAGAAGAAGAGTGTACAGCTCACACAGAGGGAGAGAGAATTCACCTTCCTTCTTCCTTTTTATTCTATTCATGCCCTCAGTTGATTGGATGGTGAAGGCAGATCTTCCTTACTCAGTCCACTGATTCAAAGGTCAATCTCTTCCAGAAATACCCTTACAGATATACCCAGAAATAATGCTATACCACATATCTGGGCATACCTCACTCCAGTCAAGCTGACACCTTCAAATTAACCATCATAAGCATATACCTTATCAACTTGGCATCCATACGCATCTCCTTAAACCACACAATCTTCAATAAAGGCAATTAACAATGTTACAGTTTTATCAAACATGATACAACTGTTCTGCATACAACCAAAAACGCACTAATCCCATCACTAGAAGAGGAGGCAAAGTTCTTAAGTGATGCTCACTTTTCTCCTGATATTCCATAACTTAAATACTATGATGAAATATTAACAATATTTAAATACTGATAGAAACTCAATGCATCTTATATTACATAATAAATGAATAAGAGAGGAAAGAAAGCAAAGATAATTGTTTAATGTATGTGTATATATATATACACAAACATATTCTTACAAAATAAGGAGGAAATATTCATGGCAATTACAGTCCTTGTTTCTATAACTGATCATTTGGTTGTAGCTGGTATTGATAGCTATCTTCTTCTATTATCCATTTTGTATTCCCTTTGACTTCAGGAAGCACCTCAGCTGGTCATGGTTCTTTATCTGGGGGGCAAAGGTGACCTAAACCTTCATTCCTAAATGGTCTGAGCCATTTGCAGTCTTGCCTGGATTAGGTTGCTATAGTTTCCCATTGAACTTAATCATAGAGAATGGTAATGTTAAGAAATACTCCCAAAGGATCACTTGTATTTTAGACATACTCTTTCTCACCGCCACTGTGGAGTACTGGTTCACTTTCCCCTTGGTATTCTGAAAAGATCACCCCAGCGAACATCATAACTCCCTTCTTAGCCTGTTGACTCAGAAGCATGAGGAGCCCAAAGTGACCAGGTGGTAATCTTAACTTCCGGTTTAATGGAATCATTGTGTCTCCTGGCAGAAGAATCCCTTCCTCTGGAACTAAGACTTCTAAGCCAGCAGAGCATAAAGTCACAAGAACAAGAAGAAAAAAAATTGCTAGTAGGTTACTAGGGGTAATGGTGAGTGGTACCACTCCCATTTCCACCCCTTGATTCTAAGACTCATGAATCTTGGCTATGGGAGAAACTGTACCATACATGGGACACTGATTCAGAGCATCTACAGCTTTCTGGAGAACCTTGCCCCAGCCCTGAAAACTGTTATCATCCAGCTGGAGCTGCATGTGCAACTTCAAAAGGCCATTCCATCATTCTATAAAGCCAGCTGCATCAGGATGATGGGAAACATGGTAAAACCAGTGAATTCCACGAGCGTGAAATCTTCCCAGTAAATTACAATGTTTGGATCCACTTTTGTCTCTAATAGTTGTAATAATCAGTTTTAATAAAATAAGCTCTTTCTGTTTCCATAGTTTACAATACAGATCCTTTTACACATCCATATCAACTTAACTACACCCAAGTTTTATGACATAATTCACTGCAGCATATACATCCGGTTCTAAACATTGAATACATTGATCATCTTGATCTATCTAATGGACATGAATTATTTTCCTAAACTAATTTTATCTTTTTCTAGACAGTTTGGCAGAGAGTAGTATATCTCTCTCTGAACTTACATTTTATTGGATTCACTTCAGAATGATGAAGAGTGCATCTAACATTCAGCTAGAGGAATCTCAAGGTCAGAAAAATCACAATTTTTCTGTTATTCTGTCCAAAAAAAAGCAAACAAAAAAGCCAAACACAGTAACTATATTTAACTCTGCAGGAAACATTTGCTTAATGATGAACTTATGAGGGTTGAATGGCCAAATGCAATGACTGGGAAGTACTTGTGAGTGTATTTGCTAAGTTTGGAACTGCAATAACATGCTGATCTTTACTGTCAAGTGTAGCCATGTCCTTGGGAGGACCAACATAATCTATTTCTTACCATGTATTTTTCTTAGACCATTCAGTAAAGTCAGGGTTAATTGCTAATTGATTTGTTATAGGTTCATCCCTTTATGTCAGTTCTGTCTACCACTTACCATAGCTGTCATCCCTTTTTCCTGGACCACTGAAAGAACATTACAATTGGTCTTCCATCTCTAGACTGGTCCCTGCCAATTTCTCAACACAGTCCTGCCAGTTATTTTCTATAGTATAAGCTGATAATGGCATCCCCTTGTGACTTCGTAACACTTTTAAGGTAAAATTCAAAATCATAAGCTTTTTCTTGCAAGACCCTTTACAATCTCTCTGCTCCCTATAGCTCTCATCTCCCAACACTGTTCTGACATGCATCTTTCCAGCCAGCCTTACTGAAAATCGTGTAGATCCTTGAATGCGTCATCTGGAATGGACATCTGTGCCTTTTTTCCTCCACCTGGAATGCTTTCTCCACCACTGGCATACCACGCACTTACAACCCTGCACACACCTTTTGTCTACTCAATTCCTACTCATATTCAAAAGTCACTCTAAGTGCTGCTTCCTCCATGATCATCCCTACTTGCTTCCGATTTAAAAGCCTTTCACCTTGCTTCAACAAGCACCCTTGAAATTTATCCCCTAGCATCAGTACTCAATACTCAAACAAGCAGTTTACATGTGTGTCTCCTCTTCTAGACTGCATGTTTCATGAGACAAGCACCAGGTATTCTTTTAGAACTGCATATTCCCAGTGCTAGTAGAGTGCTAGTCTCCTTGTAAATATTAAAAAAATTGTTGGGTGGGCTGCGCGTGGTGGCTCATGCTTGTAATCCGAGCACTTTTGGAGGCCGAGGCAGGTGGATCACCTGAGGTCGGGAGCTCCAGACCAGCCTGACCAACATGGAGAAACCCTGTCTCTACTAAAAATACAAAATTAGTCAGCTGTGGTGGCAAATGCCTGTAATCCCAGCTTCTCCAGAGGCTAAGGCAGGAAAACCGCTTGAACCTGGGAGGCTGAGGTTGTGGTGAGCCGAGATCATGCCATTGCACTCCAGCCTGGGCAACAAAGGTGAAACTCCATCTCAAAAAAAAAAAAAAAAAAAAAATTGCTGAATGAATGAAAGAAAAAAGGAAGGGAAGAAAAGAAGGAAGGAAGGAAGGAAGAGCTCTGGGTAACCCTCTGTTCACTCACCTTTAAAATCGTAGGGTCTCTTAGGGTACTTTGCAGTATGAAATTCTGTGATTACCACCTTAGATGTAAAAAGGAATTAAGTGAAAGATGCCTGAAAACTAATGGGATATCATATTAGTTTTGTTAACTAGTAACATTTAACATTCTTAAAGGACCTCAACTATGCTGAATATTCACCTCCTATTCATTATATTTCATCAAGATTGTATGTAGTAATCTATGTCCTAAGTAATTATGAGTCAAGTAATTTAAGTAGCATGAGCTAATTTTGAGTATTACATGAAGTATCACCTCTTAAACGTGTGACAGGGAAACTGTAGAGTCTCCAGTCTTTAAGGTACAACCAATTTAATGGTTTCAACTTTTAACCAGTGATCTCTTCTCAAGCAAAATCTGCTTATAGCAAATGTGAAAGTGATAAATATTTAATCTGTAAAACCCACCAAAGCAGTGTTGCTTGATTTAATGACTGGAGGGGTGGAAGGTAGCCTGAATTCCTGATGGTTATATTGCTGTCCTTTCAATGTCATCCTTGAGACTCCTCTGTTTGGGTGCTGAGGACTCGGAGCACAGTTTGAAAACCATTACAACAAAACAATTGTGTCTAACCCAACATCCTCAAAAAAAAGAAAATGAGATCCAGACGGTCGGTGATTTGCACAACATCTTCACCAATTAGTTGTATCCAAGAACACTGGTTGTCTCTTTTTGACACCAGTATCTGCAACATGGTAGCATGTATATTACTGGGGTCAAGTTAGGTTTCATGCAACAGTCACAGGGTTTATTAAAATCCCATAAAAGAACCTTGGCTCACCTTCTCTTCTTCCTATCTTCTAATCAAGCATCACTCCATAAATGAGCATATAGTTTGGCTTTTTACACGGGTGATTTGTGGTTCTTGGGTCTTATGGATTTAGGTCCTGTATAGCAGGTTTTCATTGACGAATAATTTTGTAAGTGAGTAATAATCATCATAAATGCCTGTATTATATCTCAGAAATAATTCCAGCTCCTGTCACATTTGTGGTCATAAGCAAGGCTTTACAACGGGATTCCTGGAACACCAGAAGTGGAATTTTAAGTGAAGTAGGAGTTCTATGTTGAAAGGTCACCTTTTCTTCATTGCTTTTAAATAAAGAGTTTATTGGTGTGGTCAGGTAGTTAATAATTTCCCGACCACCAAGGGGAGAGAGAAGTCTTATATTTTTTTTAAGTGCTTAAGTTTTTTAAAAAATATTTCAACCTTATTTTTCTTTAAAATATCATTTTATGAAGCTTTCATTGTATTTTCAGATCCATGAATTTTCTCTCATTGATTACACAAATCTTTAAAAAAATAAAATAAGAGAAATAATATCTACTACATCTTTTCATGATACTAGAAAGAGAAGTTTGGATAGCAAATATTAAGAAAAAATTATAAAGACATTTAACCACAAAATCCTGTGGTTAATCTTTATATTTGTCACTTTTCATCAAGCTCAGAGATTAGCAATCACTTCTAGAGGTTCTTAAAAGTATTTGAAATTGTAGGATCAGGTTATGTCTAACCCATTTTGTGGAAGCTGCCAGTCCTTGTGAATATGTGTTAATAATGACTATAGATAACATTTGTCTGTGCACCATGAGCCAGGCAAGTTCTCAATGTTTTTACATCTTCGACTAATTTAATCATCCAAAAGTTTCCATGAATTAAGTACTATTACTATTCCAATTTTAATAAAGAGAAGTCTAAAGCCCAAAGAGTTCATGCAATTTTCCTAGTATTGCATAATAATGGAGTATAGGGATCAAGGCACTCAGTGACCAATGTCGACATTCTTAAACACTATGTTACACTACATCTTTCTATTGTTTACATTGGGTAGAATCCTACAGAGGGATTGGAGGTTGATAAAAACTGTTGAGAAACTCTATCTTCCAAAACAACAAATAACCCTTGAATGGGTGACCCACAGGCTTTACCTGGGCCCCTAATGACCCAACAATCCATAGACCAACTATTGAAATGTATATTTAGGACAGTCCTCCTACCCATTCTTCTCTCCTCTTGTACCTTTTAAATAGATTTGGTCTTAAGGTACAGTGATTTGTGACTTGTCTTATCCTCCCTATTGTAAATTCTAGAAGGACAGCAATAATGTCTTATTTGTAGCTCTAATTCCTGCTTTATTAGGGACTATGCCTTATAGATACTGGAAAACTGAATTTTCCACTGAATTTTCCAGTAGAACCAAAGAATACTACATTCCTTGGCCAGGTGGTATGCTGGTAAATGTTTAACCACCAACTCTGGAGGAATTTTTAAAGTCCTGCTTTGTAGCATTTTCCATTTCCCATGGTGTAAATATGATTCCCATTACAAATTTGAATCTACTAACTAACATAATGTCCCTGAAAACAGGAGTTAGGGAGTTAGGAAGAGATGCTAACAACAGGCTCTCACCAGCTGCCAAGGAGAATGAAGGCACATGGCTGTGTTGGCCATTTAAAAACAATGTAAGTCCCACTGAAGAAAGTTGATGAAAAAGAAGAAAAGATAGGAGTAAATCTTGACTTCACAATTTCTACTAAACTGTCACGAACCACCCTAAGGTTGCATTAGTGGCTTCTTCTGTCACCTTCTCAAAGCACCTTGCAGACCATTCATCAAACTGTTAATCTTGCTGTCTTTTTACTTGTTCAGATTCCCCTAGTAGATTGTAAACTCTTTTTCTTTTTTTTTTTTTCCGAGACAGAGTCTCAAAGGGACTACAAGGAGATTGTAAACTCTTTGAGGGCAGAGATTATATTATTTTTGTTTTAGCCCCTGAGTCTGGCCCAAAGAAAATACAATTTTTTTTAATTACTGAATAAGTGAATGCTTGAAAAATTTGGTTCTACCACAAGAGATTGTATTCATTTCTTTATTAGCAATTAGAGGTCATGAGTATTCACCTGGATTTTGGCCTTAATGCAAAATTTTCCTGCTTTGTTGATTTATGGTTGATCTGTAGCATTACCCTTCAACATAGTTATTTGTAGTTGGTGATTAAGTTCTGTGGACTTGTGATTAAGGAGTAATTAATTTTCCATACTTAACAACACTAATGAAATTTCATGTGAAATGAAAAGTAACTACAGAATTAGCATTTGCATCTACTTAGCAGCTTGTCTTCATTATATAACAAACAGAAACAAAGTACTTCAAGTTCATCCTAGCCAAAGGCTTGAGAAGGGAATGTAAGGAGCTAGCTAAAGAGAGACAGGCGGGCAAGCAGACAAATAAGCAGAGAAGGCTAACTTAAATTATTATGGATGTATTTACAGAAATGGGTTATCAGTTTTAATGCAGATATACTGGATAATAGAAAAAATTGAATAATTTATCCAGCAATTTTCACATAAGCAATATTATTAAAATGAAGACATGAAGGAAGAGGTTATAGAGGAGAATATATAGAGGCCATGAATAAACGCATTAGGCAGCAGAAATTGTGAATTTTTAGTAGGTTTGGACTAGGTTTAAAAAAAAAAGAAAGAAAAAAGTACTTAATTTCTATGAAGTCTTAAAATATTTCCTGAGTGGAATTGCCCAGAGTGGGAAAGTTTATTCCCATCTTTTTATTGCCACTAGTGTTTTCAAAGACTAAAAGCAAGTCTTTGTCATTCTATATTCTGGAAAATATTAAAAAGAGTAACAAATTAGAGGGTGGTGATAGGGGATGGGAAAAGCTAAGGAAGAAGAGTGCTCGTAAGCCAAATAAATGTGTACATGAAGATAGCTATGAAGAGCCCTAAACTGCCCTGTGCTGTTTTGCACATTTAAGGAAAAAAAACCTTTTTTTTAAATACAGATATCTCATTTTCTCCTTAACATGTATAATTACATTAATGCCATTGTTATTTTTATTTCCATAAAATATTATTTTAAAAAACATACTGACCTTTAATCACAGATTAAAAAACAACAACATATTGCCATTTTCACAAGAAATAAACCTAGATGCTAGCTAAGCAGACTTGATTTCTTTAGAAGAGTCATAGTACATTCAGGCATAAATTCCTGTTAATAAGTGTTTGTTTTTCAACGGGATGGAGCCTCTCATTTAAACAAAGACAACTTTTACAACTTTAGAAACAGATGATCCCTCCAGTTAAGACTATTTAGGAAAAAAAGGGATTTTTTGAGTATTAAATCAATTTCAGCACAATACCTTCTAATAGCCAGAAATGTAATAAGCACTCCTGAAACCAAATTCAAAAGAAAGTGTCGATGTTCTTCTCTCGTTAGTGGCTGCTCTGTTTGAGGGGTATGTGCGCCTGTGTGTGTATGTGTGTGTGTGCATGCATGCACGTGTGTGTATTTCTTGCTAATTCTATACTATTGGATAAATGCAGATATATGAAAAATACATGTATTTGTCTTTGGGGTTTTTTTTGAACAATATTGCCTATGCTATTTAAATTATTGGAAATTGCAACTTTCTGTTTCAGTGAATTTTCCAGATATCAAGTGTCAGTCCTCTGAGCCCAAGCTAAGCCATCATATCCCCTGTGACCTGCATGTACACATCCAGATGGCCGGTTCCTGCCTTAACTGATGACATTCCACCACAAAAGAAGTGAAAATGGCCTGTTCCTGCCTTAACTGATGACATTGTTTTGTGAAATTCCTTCTCCTGGCTCATCCTGGCTCAAAAGCTCCCCCACTGAGTACCTTGTGACCCCCACTCCTGCCCGCCAGAGAACAACCCCCTTTGACTGTAATTTTCCTTTACCTACCCAAATCTTATAAAAACGGCCCCACCCCTATCTCCCTTCGCTGACTCTCTTTTCAGACTCAGCCCGCCTGCGCCCAGGTGAAATAAACAGCTTTATTGCTCACACAAAGCCTGTTTGGTGGTCTCTTCACACGGACGCGCATGAAATTTGGTGCCGTGACTTGGATCAGGGTACCTCCTTTAGGAGATCAATCCCCTGTCCTGTTCTTTGCTCTGTGAAAAAGATCCACCTATCCACCTACGATCTCAGGTCCTCAGACCCACCAGCCCAAGGAACATCTCACCAATTTTAAATCCAGTAAGCGGCCTCTTACTCTCTTCTCCAACCTCTCTCACTATCCCTCAACCACTTTCTCCTTTCCACTCTTCAATCTCTCCCTTCTCTTAATTTCAATTCCTTTCATTTTCTGGTAGAGACAAAGGAGACACATTTTATCCGTGGACCCAAAACTCCGGCGCCAGTCACGGACTGGGAAGGCAGCCTTCCCTTGGTGTTTAATCATTGCAGGGACGCCTCTCTTGATTATTCACCCACATTTCAGAGGTGTCAGACCACGCAGGGACGCCTGCCTTGGTCCTTCACCCTTAGCAGCAAGTCCTGCTTTTCTGAAGGAAAGGCAAGTACCCCAACCCCTTCTCTCCATGTCTCTACCCCTTCTCCACCTTTCTAGCAGGCAAGAAACCCCCAACCCCTTCTCCTTCACCCTGAGTGGCAAGTCCCACTTTTCTGGGGGAGGGGCAAGTATCCCAACCTCATATCTCTGCACCCCGATCCCTTATTTCCATGCCCCGACCTCTTATATCTCTGCGCCCTGATCCCTTATTTCTGCGCCCCAACCTCTTGTATCTCTGTGCCCCAATCCCTTATTTCTGTGCCCCAACCTCTTATATCTCTGCACCCCGATCCCTTATTTCCACACCCCGACCTGGTATCTCTGCAACCCGACCCCTTCTCTGCTTTTCTGGAGGGCAAGAACCCCCCACCCCTTCTCTGTGTCTCTACTCTTTTCTCCGGGCTTCCCTCCTTCACTATGGGCAAGCTTCCACCTTCCATTCCTCCTTCTTCTCCCTTAGCCTGTGTTCTTAAGAACTTAAAACCTCTTCAACTCTCACCTGACCTAAAATCTAAGCATCTTATTTTCTTCTGCAATGCCGCTTGACCCCAATACAAACTCAACAGTAGTTCCAAATAGCCGGAAAACGGCACTTTCAATTTTTCCATCCTACAAGATCTAAATAATTCTTGTCATAAAATAGGAAAATAGTCTGAAGTGCCTGACATCCAGGCATTCTTTTACACATTGGTCCCTCTCTAGTCTCTGTTCCCAATTCAGCTCATCCCAAATCTTCCTTCTTTTCCTCCCATCTGTCCCCTCAGTCCCAACCCCAAGCGTCGCTGAGTCTTTCTAATCTTCCTTTTCTACAGACCAATCTGACCTCTCCCCTCCTCCCCAGGCTGCTCCTTGCCAGGCCGAGCTAGGTCCCAATTCTTCCTCAGCCTCCGCTCCTCCACCCTATAATCCTTTTATCACCTCCCCTCCTCACACCTGGTCTGGCTTATAGTTTCGTTCTGTGACTAGCCCTCCCCCACCTGCCCAGCAATTTACTCTTAAAAAGGTGGCCGGAGCTAAAGGCATAGTCAAGGTTAATGCTCCTTTTTCTTTATCCCAAATCAGATAGTGTTTAGGCTGTTTTTCGTCAAATATAAAAATCCAGCCCAGTTCATGACTTGTTTGGCAGCAACCCTGAGACACTTTACAGCCCTAGACCCTAAAATGTCAAAAGGCCGTCTTATTCTCAAAATACATTTTCTTACCCAATCTGCTCCCGACATTAAATAAAACTCCAAAAATTAAATTCCGGCCCTCAAACCCCACAACAGGATTTAATTAACCTTGCCTTCAAGGTGTACAATAATAGAAAAACGTTGCAATTCCTTGCCTCCACTGTGAGACAAACCCCAGCCACATCTCCAGCACACAAGAACTTCCAAACGCCTGAACCGCAGCGGCCAGGCATTCCTCCAGAACCACCTTCCCCAGGAGCTTGCTACAAGTGCCAGAAATCTGGCCACCAGGCCAAGGAATGCCCGCAGCCCAGGATTCCTCCTGAGCCGTGTCCCATCCGTGCAGGACCCCACTGGAAATCGGACTCTTCAACTCACCTGGCAGCCACTCCCAGAGCCTCTGGAACTCTGGCCCAAGGCTCTCTGACTGACTCCTTCCCAGATCTTCTTGGCTTAGCGGCTGAAGACTGATGCTGCCTGATCGCCTCAGAAGCCCCCTAGACCATCATGGACGCCGAGCTTCAAGTAACTCTCACAGTAGAAGGTAAGTCCATCCCCTTCTTAATCAATACGGAGGCTACCCACTCCACATTACCTTATTTTCAAGGGCCTGTTTCCCTTGCCTCCATAACTGTTGTGGGTATTGACAGCCAGGCTTCTAAACCTCTTAAAACTCCCCAACTCTGGTGCCAACTTTGACAATACTCTTTTAAGCACTATTTTTAGTTATCCCCACCTGCCCAGTTCCCTTATTAGGCCGAGACACTTTAACTAAATTATCTGCTTCCCTGACTATTCCTGGATTACAGCTACATCTCACTGCTGCCCTTCTTCCCAATCCAAAGCCTCCTTTGCGTCCTCCTCTTGTATTCCCCCACCTTAACCCACAAGTATAAGATACCTCTACTCCCTCCTTGGTGACCGATCATGCACCCCTTACCATCTCATTAAAACCTAATCACCCTTACCCCGCTCAATGCCAATATCCCATCCCACTGCATGCTTTGAAAAGATTAAAGCCTGTTATCACTCGCCTGCTACAGCATGGCCTTTTAAAGCCTATAAACTCTCCTTACAATTCCCTCATTTTACCTGTCCTAAAAACCAGACAAGTCTTACAAGTTAGTTCAGGATCTATGCCTTATCAACCAAATTGTTTTCCCTATCCACTCCATGGTGCCAAACCCATATACTCTCCTATTCTCAATACCTCCCTCCACAATCCATTATTCTGTTCTAGATCTCAAACATGCTTTCTTTACTATTCCTTTGCACCCATCATCCCAGTCTCTCTTCGCTTTCACTTAGACTGACCCTGACACCCATCAGGCTCAGCAAATTACCTGGGCTGTACTGCCGCAAAGCTTCACAGACAGCCCCCATTACTTCAATCAAGCCCAAATATCTTCCTTATCTATTACCTATCTCAGCATAATTCTCATAAAAACACACGTGCTCTCCCTGCTGATCATGTCCGATTAATGTCCCAAACCTCAATCCCTTACAAAACAACAACTTTCCTTCCTAGGCATGGTTAGTGCTGTCAGAATTCTTACACAAGAGCCAGGACCGCACCCTGTAGCCTTTCTGTCCAAACAACTTGACCTTACTGTTTTAGCCTAGCCATCATGTCTCCATGCAGTGGCTGCTGCCGCCCTAATACTTTTAAAGGCCCTCAAAATCACAAACTATGCTCAACTCACTCTACATTTCTCATAACTTCCAAAATCTATTTTCTTCCTCATACCTGACGCATATACTTTCTGCTCCCCGGCTCCTTCAGCTGTACTCACTCTTTGTTAAGTCTCACAATTACCATTGTTCCTGGCCCGGACTACAATCCAGCCTCCCACATTATTCCTGATACCACACCTGATACCACACCATGACTGTATCTCTCTGATTCACCTGACATTCACCCCATTTCCCCATATTTCCTTCTTTCCTGTTCCTCACCCTGATCACGCTTGATTTATTGATGGCAGTTCCACCAGGCCTAATCGCCACACACCAGCAAAGGCAGGCTATGCTATAGTACAAACCACTAGCCCACCTCTTAGAACCTCTCATTTCCTTTCCATCGTAGAAATCTATCCTCAAGGAAATAACTTCTCAGTGTTCCATCTGCTATTCTACTACTCCTCAAGGATTATTCAGGCCCCCTCCCTTCCCTACACATCAATCAAGCTCAAAGATTTCCCCTGCCCAGGACTGGCAAATTAGCTTTACTCAACATGCCCCAAGTCACAAAAACTAAAATACCTCTTAGTCTAAGTAGACACTTTCACTAGATAGGTAGAGGCCTTTCCTACAGGGTCTGAGAAGGCCACCACAGTCATTTCTTCCCTTCTGTCAGACATAATTCCTCAGTTTAGCCTTCCCACCTCTATACAGTCTGATAACAGACCAGCCTTTATTAGTCAAATCAGCCAAGCAGTTTTTCAGGCTCTTAGTATTCAGTGAAACCTTTATATCCCTTACAGTCCTCAGTCTTCAGGAAAAGTAGAACAGACTAAAGGTCTTTTAAAAACACACCTTACCAAGCTCAGCCACCAACTTAAAAAGGAATAGACAATACTTTTACCACTTCCCCTTCTCAGAATTCAGGCCTGTCCTCAAAATGCTACAAAGTACAGCCCATTTCAACTCCCGTATAGATGCTCCTTTTTATTAGGCCCCAGTCTCATTCCAGACACCAGACCAACTTAGATTGTGCCCCAAAAGACTTGTCATCCCTACTCTCTTCTGTCTAGTCATACTCCTATTCACCGTTCTCAAATACTCATACATGCCCTGCTCTTGTTTACACTGCCGGTTTACACTGTTTCTCCAAGCCATCACAGCTGATACCTCCTGGTGCTATCCCCAAACCACCACTCTTAATTCTTAAAGTAAATAAGTAATCTTTACTGGAAAGGCTATGCTGAACCTCCTTAGGCACTCTCTAATTAGATGTCCTAGGTCCTCCCAATTGTTAGTCTTTTAATACCTGTTTTTCTCCTTCTCTTATTCTGTTTAGTTTTTCAATTCATACAAAACTGTATCCAGGCCATCACCAATAATTCTAAATGACAAATGTTTCTCCTAACAGTCCCACAATATCACCCCTTACCACAGAATGTTCCTTCAGCTTAATCTCTCCCACTCTAGGTTCCCACACCGCCCCTAATCCGGCTTGAAGCAGCCCTGAGAAACATCGCCCATTATCTCTCCATACCACCCCCCAAAATTTTCGCCGTCCCAACACTTTACCACTATTTCGTTTTATTTTTCTTATTAATATAAGAAGAAAGGAATGTCAGGCCTCTGAGCCCAAGCTGAGCCATCATATCCCCTGTGACCTGCATGTACACATCCAGATGGCCGGTTCCTGCCTTAACTGATGACATTCCACCACAAAAGAAGTGAAAATGGCCTGTTCCTGCCTTAACTGATGACATTGTCTTGTGAAATTCCTTCTCCTGGCTCATCCTGGCTCAAAAGCTCCCCCACTGAGTACCTTGTGACCCCCACTCCTGCCCGCCAGAGAACAACCCCCTTTGACTGTAATTTTCCTTTACCTACCCAAATCTTATAAAAACGGCCCCACCCCTATCTCCCTTCACTGACTCTCTTTTCAGACTCAGCCCACCTGCACCCAGGTGAAATAAACAGCTTTATTGCTCACACAAAGCCTGTTTGGTGGTCTCTTCACACGGACGCAAGTGAAATCAAGTATTTATGTTTTTGAGCACCAAATTGCTTTTCTTTAATAAATGTATTCGTATATCTAAAACATTTTAAAGTCCCTGCTTTCCTAAGCAGAATATATATAATATAATTGAGGTTTTGACTCCCCATCAGTGTCATTAATAATAATGCTTACTGTTTAATGCTGCCATACAAGGATACCTCAAGACCCACTAAATATACTGGGTGTTTTGGTTCTAGTCTGAGGGACTCCAAAATTCTATATGTTTTGAGCGGTTTACTAACAGTTTTGTCTGCTGATAATAATACTCTCTTTATCGTTATTTGTTCTCTGTTAAGGCCTAAAACTGAATCATCATATTTATCAAAATGGTGCATATTAAAAATGCAAAGTAGATTTTTGTTTAAATATTCTAACATCCCTTCCTTTTAGTTTTTTTGTAGTGATCGGGTCTCTCTTTTTTGCCAAGGCTGGTCTCGAACTCCTGGCATCAAGTGATCCTCCCACCTGGACCTCCCAAAGTAATGGGGATTACAGGCTAAAGGTATAAGCCACCACACCCAGCCACCACACACATCTCTTGACACTAAGTTTGGACTCACTTTTTTTTTGTTGTTGTGATTAAAATAAACAAGGTATTTACAATACTTACATGTGAAAAAATGAGGTGCTGGATATTTTGGGAAGTCATGAAGATCACTAACAATATAAAAAAACAAAGTTCTGAGAATCTGACTCAAAGATAAAAAGTTTATTCTAGGTCCACTGGGTATGCTGTTGGTTTCTCTTGTCAACTGACATCTCGAGGACAGATGGAAATATTTCAGAGACTGCTCTTTTATCTCAGAAAAACTGTGAGTGCTCACTCGCCCCACCCTTGGGCCTTCTCCTTCCCTCTCGATTTCATATGCATGCAGCCACCTCCCCATACACATCTCTTAAGGCTTTTCTGATAAGGAGGGGTGTTCTATCCATGCATCCTTTTTAAAAATAATAATAATAATAATAATAATAATAATTTTCTTGATTGTCTACCCAAGGTTCCTTCTGCATTTCAGGCCACATGTGCAATACTAAGCAACAGACATAAAATCATGACATGTTCTGAGTGAACTGAAGCTGCTGACCATCTACCACTTTCTCCTCCGCCAGCTGTAGTTTCACGACAAAGAAAGATGAAAATTTACCAAGCAAAAGATCTCTTTTAGGCCACAGAGATTTAAGGGCAATTGTAAATATTTTTGTTCCATTTCTTTGGTTGAAACCCATTTTATACCTGAAACATTAATAAAAACGTATTTAAAGATAGACTGACTACATATCTTTTGAGAGCAGAAGGAGGAAATCTTAATAATAATGAAATGGGCTTCAGCCCTCGGGCACTGGAGAGTCCATGCCAACCGGGAGTGGAAGGGATCCCTCAGCACACCACAACATGGCCAGACTGCTTCTTTCTTTCTTAATTTTATTTTATTTTAAGTTTGGGAATACGTGTGCAGGACATGCAGGTTTGTTACATAGGTAAACATGTACCATGGTGCTTTGCTGCACCTATCAACCCATCACCTAGGTATTAAGCCCAGCAAGCATTAGCTATTAATCCTAATGCTCTCCCTCCCGCAACCTCCCTGACAGGCCCCAGTGTGTGTTGTTCCCCTCCCTGTGTCCATGTGTTCTCATTGTTCAGCTCCCACTTATAAATAAGAACATGTGGTGTTTGGTCTTCTGTTCCTGTGTTAGTTTGCTGAGAATAATGGTTTCTAGCTCCAGCCATATGCATGCAAAGAGCATGATCTTGTTGTGTTTTATGGCTGCATAGTATTCCATGGTGTATATGTACATTTTCTTTATCCAGTCTATCATTGATGGGCATTTGGGTTGATTCCATGTCTTTGCTATTGTAAATAGTGCTGCAATGAACATGCGTGCATGTATCTTTTTTTTTGGGAGGGGTGCGGGGGACAGAGTCTTGCTCTGTCGGCTAGGCTGGAGTGCAATGGCATGATCTCAACTCACTGCAACCTCCATCTCCCGGGCTCAAGCAATTCTTCTGCCTCAGCCTCCCGAGTAGCTGAGATTACAGTCGTGTGCCACCATACCCGGCTAATTTTTGTATTTTTAGTAGAGATGGGGTTTCACCATGTTGGCCAGGCTGGTCTCGAACTCCTGAGCTCAGGTAATCCACCTGCCTAGGCCTCCCAAATTGCTGGGATTGTAGGCATGAGCCACTGCTCCCGGCCGTGTGCATGTATCTTTATAACAGAATGATTTGTATTCCTTTGGGTATATATCCAGTAATGGGATTGCCGAGTCAAATTGTATTGCTGAGTCTAGGTCTTTGAGGAATCGCCACACTGTCTTCCACAATGGTTGAACTAATTTGCACTCCCACCAACAGTGTAAAACTGTTCCTATTTATCCACAGCCTCGCCAGAATCTGTTGTTTCCTGACTTTTTAATAATAGCCATTCTGACTGGCATGAGATGGTATCTCACTGTGGTTTTGATTTGCATTTCTCTAATGATTAGTGATAATGAGCTTTTTTTCACGTTTGTTGGCTGCATAAATGTCTTCTTTTGACAAGTGTCTGTTCATGTCTTTTGCCCACTTTTTTAACAAGGTTGTTTGTTTTCTTCTTGTAAATTTGTTTAAGTTCCTTGAAGATTCTGGATTTTAGACCATTGTCAGATGGATAGTGTGCAAAAATTTTCTCCCATTCTGTAGGTTATCTGTTCTCTGATGATAGTTTATTTTTGCTGTGCAGAATCTCTTTTTTTTTTTTTTTTTTTTTTTTTAGACAGAGTCTCACTCTATCTCCCAGGCTGGAGTGCAATGGCACGATCTCAGCTCACTGCAATCTCTGCCTCCCGGGTTCAAGTGATTCTCATACCTCAGCCTCCCAAGGAGCTAGGATTACAGGCACATTCCACCACACCCAGCTAATTTTTGTATTTTTAGTAGAGATGGGGTTTCACCACGTTGACCAGGCTGGTCTTGAACTCCTGACCTCAGGTGATCCACCCGCCTTGGCCTCCCAAACTGTTGGGATTACAGGCATGAGCTACCACACCCAGCTGGCAGAGCTCTTTAGTTAGATCTCATTTGTCCCAAAATTTTTGCTTTTGTTGCAATTGCTTTTGATGTTTTTGTCATGAAATCTTTGCATGTGCCTATGTCCTGAAAGTTATTGCCTACATTTTCTTCTAGAGTTGTTATAGTTTCAGGTTTTACATGTAAGTCTTTAATTCATCTTGAGCTAATTTTTGTATAAGGTGTAAGGAAGGGGTCCACTTTCAATTTTCTGCATATGGCTAGCCACTTTTCCCAGCACCATTTATTAAATAGGGAATCCTTTCCCCATTGCTTTTGTCAGGTTTATCAGAGATCAGATGGTTGTAGATATGTGGTCTTATTTCTGAGATCTCTATCCTGTTCCATTGGTCTATGTGTCTGTTTTTGTACCAGTACCATGCTGTTTTAGTTACTGTAGCCTTGTAGGATGGTTTAAAGTTGGGTAGTGCGATGCCTCCAGCTTTGTTCTTTTTGTTTAGGATTGTCTTGGCTATATGGGCTCCAAGAACAAACAAACCCAAAAGCTAGCAGAAGACAAGAAATAACCAAGATCAGAGCTGAAGTGGAAGAGATAGAGACATGAAAAATCCTTCAAAAAAAGCAATGAATTCAGGAGCTGATTTTTTGAAAAAATTAATAAAATAAACCACTAGCTAGACTAATGAAGAAAAGAGAGAAGACTCAAATAGACACAATAAAAAATGATACAGGGGATATCACTACTGACCCCACAGAAATACAAACAACCATCTGAGAATACTATAAACACCTCTATGCAAATAAACTAGAAAATCTAGGAGAAAGTGATAAATTCCTGGACACATACACCTTCCCAAGACTAAACCAGGAAGAAGGTGAATCCCTGAATAAACCAATAACAAGTTCTGAAACTGAGGCAGTAATAAATGGCCTACCAACAAAAAAAAGCCCAGGACCAGACAAACACAGTTGAATTCTACCAAAGGTACAAAGAGGAGCTGGTACCATTTCTTCTGAAATTATTCCAAACAATTAAAAAGATCCCTAACTCATTTTATGAAGACAGAATTATCCCAATACCAAAACCTGGCAGAGATACAACAAAAAAAGAAAACTTCAGGCCAATATCCCCGATGAACATCAATGCTAAAATCCTCATGAAATACTGGCAAACTGAATCCAGTGGCTTATCAAAAGGCTTATCCACCACAATCAAGTTGGCTTCATCCCTAGGGTGCAAGGTTGGTTCAACATATGCAAAACAATAAACGTAATTCATCACATAAACAGAACTAAAGACAAAAACCACACGATTATCTCAATAGATGCAGAGGTCTTCGATAAAATTCAACATCTCTTTATGTTAAAAACTCTCAATAAACTAGGTGTTGATGGAACATATCTTAAAATAATAACAGCCATTTATGACAGACACACAGCCAATATTATACTGAATGGGCAAAAGCTGGATGCATTCCCCTTGAAAACCAGAACAAGACAAGGATGCCCTCTCTCAATACTCCTATTCAATATGGTATTGGAAGTTCTGACCATGGCAATCAGGCAAGAGAAAGAAATAAAGGTTATTCAAATAGAAAGAGAGGGAGTCAAACTGTCTGTTTGCAGGTGATATAATCCTATATCTAGAAAACCCCACCATCTCGGCCCAAAAGCTCCTTAAGCTGATAAGCAACGGCAGCAACGTCTCAGGATACAAAAATCAATGTGCAAAAATCACAAGCATTCCTTAGACCAACAGTAGACAAGCAGAGAGGCAAATCATTAATGAACTCCCATTCACAATTGCTACATTGAGAATAAAATAGCTAGGAATACAGCTAACAAGGGAAGTGAAAGACTTCTTCAAGGAGAACTATAAACCACTGCTCAAGGAAATCAGAGAGGACACAAACAAATGGAAAAACATTCCATACTCATGGATAGGAAGAATCAATATCATTAAAATGGCAATACTGCCCAAAGTAATTTACAGATTCAGTGCTATTCCCATTAAACTACTATTGACATTCTTCACAGTCAGACTGCTTATTTAAGGGAGTCCCTGATCCCTTTTCTCCTCACTGGGCAGGACCTCACAACCATGGCCTCCAGCCACCCCTGTCAGTGTTCTCTGGCCAACAAAGATTTGTAACCCCCCTGGGATGGAGCTCCCAGAGAGAGAGGCAGGCCACCATCTTTGCTGTTTGAGTGACTCAGCTATTCCAGCCTTCAGGCTTTGGAGTGTCAGAGACGGCCAGGGGCTGAAGCAAACCCCCTAGCACAGCATGGTTGCTCTACCAAAACATGGCTAGACTGCTTTTCTCCTCACTGGGCAGGACCTTCCAACCAGGGTCTATAGCCATCTCTTATAGGTGCCTTTGGGCCAGCAACAGACCTATAATTCTCTGGGATGAAGCTTCCAGAGGGAGGGGACAGGCTGCCATCTTTGCTGTTTCACAGCCTTCACTGGTGGTGCCTCCAGGTCCTGGAAAATCCGAGGTGACTAGCGACTGGAGTGGGCCCAACCGTACTGCACCAGCCCTACAGAAAAGTAGCCAGACTGTTACATTGGTGTCTGTTCCCATATCTCCTCACAGGTACTCCAGACCTGGGCCTCCAGCCACTCCCTGCCAAAGCAATCGACCCTGTAGAAACTCAGCAACTTTCTGGACAGAGCCTCCAGGGGCAACTAAAAGCATCTCTGTCACTGCCTCTGTAGTGAAACTGCTGTTGCCACTGTCAGACTAATGAAGGAGCAAAGATCCCAAATGCCTCATTCACACCTCCAAGGTGCAGTCGACCCAAAGAGAGGAAGCCAGTCCATCTCCCATGGGTCCCACACACCCCCAGCTGCTCATCACCAGACAGGGAATGCCTGGCTTAGGCCCACAGCACAAACCCTCCATCCTGGGCTGATTGCATTGAGCAATTGCTGATCTGCATCTCTCTGGAGTGGAGTCCCCAGGAAACAAGCAAATGACCCTCAGCCACAATCACTACTAAGATACCTCCCTCTGGCCAGGCACAGTGGCTCATGCCTGTAATCCCAGCACTTTGGGAGGCCGAGGCGGATGGATCACAAGGTCAGGAGATCAAGACCATCCTGGCTAACAGGGTGAAATCCCGACTCTACTACAAATACAAAAAAAATTAGCTGGGCGTGGTGGCGGGTGCCTGTAGTCCCAGCTACTCGGGAGGCTGAGGCAGGAGAATGGCGTGAACCCGTGAGGCGGAGCTTGCAGTGAGCCGAGGTCGCGCCACTGAACTCCAGCCTGGGTGACAGAGCAAGAATCCATCTAAAAAAAAAAAAAAAATCCTAAACAAAGCCTCAGCCCAGTGGAAACACCAGAAAAGAAATCTATCGACTACACTCAATCTACACAGCAGTAAAAGGAGCACCCACATGCAAACATGAAAAAGAACCAACACAAGAACTCTGGTAACTCAAATGACCAGAGTGTTGTGAGTCCCACAAACAACTGCACCGGTTTTCCAATGAGAGTTCTTAACTAGGCTGAACTGGCTAGAATGACAGAATTAGAATTCAGAATATGGATAGGAACAAAAATCAATGAGATTCAGGAGAACAGCAAAACACAATCCAAGGAAAATAAGAATTACAATAAAGTGATACAGGAGCTGAATGATGAAATAGCCAGTATAGAAAAGAACCTAATGGATCTGACAGAATTGTGTGAATAACACAATACAGGAATTTCACAATGCAACCACAAGTATTAACAACAGAATAAATCAAGCTGAGGAAAGAGTCTCAGAACTTGAAGACTGGTTCTCTGAAATAAGACAGTCAGACAAAAATAAAGAAAAAAGAATTAAAAGGAATTAACAAAACCTCTGAGAGTGTGAGATTATGTAAACAGGCAAAATCTATGAATCATTGGCATCCCTAAAAGGCGAGGGGCCCAGGAAAAGTAAATAACTTGGAAAACATATTACAGGATATCATCAATGAAAACTTCCCCACCCTTGCTAGAGAGGCCAACAGTCAAATTCAGGAATTCAGGATTTTCCAAGGTAAAAATGAAAGAAACAATGTTAAAGGTAGCTAGAGAGAAAGGGCAGGTCACCTACAAAAGAAACCCCATTAGGCTAACAGCAGACCTCTCAGCTTAAACCCTACAAATCAGAAGGGATTGGGGGCCTATACTCAACATTCTAATATCTAGAAAACCCCATAGTCTTGGCCCTAAAGCTCCTTAAAAGTTTCAGGATACAAAATCAGTGTACAAAAATCATTAGGATTTCTATATACCAAAAACAGCAAAGCCTAGATCCAAATCAGAAAGGCAAGCCTATTCACAACTACCACCAAAAAAATAAATACATAAAATAAAATACCTTGGAATACAGCTAACCATAGAGGTGAATGATCTCTACAATGAGAATTACAAAACACTACTCAACAATCTCTACAAGGAGAATTACAAAACACTATTCAAAGAAATCATAGAAGACACAAACAAATGGAAAAACATCCCACACTCATGGATAGGAAGAATCAATATCATTAAAATAGCTATACTGCCCAAAGCAATTTACAGATTCAGTGCTATTTCCATCCAACTACCAACACATTCTTCACAGAACTAGAAAAAAACTATTTTAAAATTCATATAGAACAAAAAAAAAAGAGCCCAAATAGCCAAGGCAATCCTAAGCAAAAAGAACAAAGGTGGAGGCATTATGTTACCCAACTTCAAACTATACAGGTTACAGTACTGAAATAGCATGGTTCTGGTACAAAAACAGATACATAGACCAATGGAACAGAATAGATAACCAAGAAATAAGAACACACATCTATGACCATCTGATCTTTGACAAGGCTGACAAAAACAAATGATGGGAAAAGGCTCCCTATTCAATAGATGGTGCTGGGATAACTGGCTAGCCATATGCAGATGATTGAAACAGGACCCCTTCCTTACACTATACACAAAAATCAACTCAAGATGGATTAAAGACTTAAATGTAAAACCCAAAACTATAAAAACCCTGGAAGACAACCTAGACAATACCATCCTGGACATAGGAATGGGAAAAGATTTCATGACAAAAACACCAAAAGCAATCACAACAAAAGCAAAACTGACAAATGAGATCTAATTAAACTTAGGAGCTTGTGAACAGCAAAAGAAACTATCAACAGAGTAAACAGACAACCTATAGAATGGGAGAAAATTTTTGCAAACTCTCCATCTAACTAAGGTCTAATATCCAAAATTTACAGGGAATTTAAACATATTTACAGGAGAAAAACAAACAATCCTATTAAAAAGTAGGCAAAGGACATGAGCAAATGCTTTTCTAAAGAAGACGTGCATGCAACCAACAAGCATATTTAAAAAAGCTCAATATCACTGATCGTTAGAGAAATGCAAATCAAAACCACTAACGAGATAAGATACAAGCCAGAATGACTATTATTAAAAAGTAAAAAAATAAATAAATAAATAATATTTGCTGGCAAGGTTGCAGAGAAAAGGGAACACTTATACAATGTTGGTGGGAGTATAAATTAGTACAACCATTGTGGAAAGCAGTATAGGGATTCCTCAGAGAACTAAAAACAGAACCACTGTTTGGCCCAGCAATTTCATTACTGGGTATATACCCAAAGGAATATAAATCATTCTACTGTAAAGGCGCATGCATGCATATGTTCATTGCAGCACTATTCACAATAATAAAGACATTGAATCAACCTAAATATCCATAAATGGCAGGTTGGATAAAGAAAACGTGGTACATATACACCATGGAATACTATACAGCCATGAGAAAGAATTTGAAAATGTCTTTTGCAGGAACATGGATGGAGCTGGAGGCTATTACCCTTAGCAAACAGGATAATGCAGGAACAGAAAACCAAATACTGCATGTTCTCACTTATAATTGGGAGTTAAATGATAAGAACCTATGAACACAAAGAAGGAAACAGACACTGGGGGCTACTTGAGGGGGGAGGGGGAGAGAGAAAGAGGAACAGAAAAGATAACTATTGGGTACTGGGCTTAATTCCTGGGTGATGAAATAATATGTACAACAAACACCCCATGACACATGTTTATCTACGTAACAAATCTTCATATGTACCCCCGAACCTTAAATAAAAGTTATAAAAAGAGAATTAAAAAATAGAAAAAAGTAACAATGAAATGGAATATGGCATAATCAGGAACTACCCTGGACAAATGGAATACATGGTCACCCTACAAAAGTAACACATGATACTATGAGTCAGAGTACAGACCCTCACTGGTCACACTGAAGACATGTTTAGTAAGACTGCACACACATTTGTGATGCTAAAATGTCAAAATTAAATGTGACAGGAATATTGGAGAAGAATCAAAACCTGAAATGTGATATTTTATATCTAACTGTATATCATCATTTGGCATATTAAAAAATTCTATTATGTATTCATCTTATTTGTATTTTACCCTATCAGATGAGATTATTTTTAAAAATAGTATCCTAAAAAAAGGTGCCTATTTGGAGCTTGCAGTGAGCCAAGATTGCACCACTGCACTCCAGCCTGGGGCGACAGTGCGAGACTCCATCTCAAAAAAAAAAAAAAAAAAGTGCCTATTTTGATGCATTTTCAAAGAGGTGATTTTCAAAAAGGAATCTCTGTCCTTGACAGTAGATAGTTTAGATATATCATTTTTGTTCTCCATGCCTTTAATTTTCACCTCTGTGTAACATTAAAGTTTGTATACGAAATGACTATTAGATAAATACCCTTGTAAATAAGCATGCCTTGAATCTCAATGCTTGAGGATTCCTTATTAGAAATTGAAATGATAATTGTATGGCTGGCTCGAATGTAGGCTTCGAAACACATAAGCGATACTGATTCTCAGCCTAGGGAAGGATTCTACATTCAGGCTGGGATTCTGCAGAGATAAGAGCAGCTATCAATTGATGATGTCTACTCTAAGTGTAGGACGGAGAAGCTCCTGAGAGCTCATGTGCCACATATTTGCTGGTCTTGTTCTGTTAAAGTCCTAATACAATACCCCATCATTCAACGTCCTCTCTACAAACTTGCTTTTCAAGATTTATATCCTAAACAACCACCCCAACTAAACTTCTACTCTAACTAGTCTGATAAATTTATTGTCCCCTGAAAAATCTTATTTCATTCCTTACATTTCTTAAGTAGATTTCCCAAGAAAGAGACTGTAAGACTGAAATTCGCACGTAGGAAGTTTGATGGAAAGATCTCTGGGAAGCACCTGTAAGTAAGTAATGAAGGAATATCGGGCAGAGGGACAAGTTGAATGGTGCTGTGGTTGCAAAAAGGACTTCAGCCACAACCATGAGGAGCTCCAGAGCTGGACTGGCCTGCAGAGTTGTCTCATAATGAATCAAGGAGAGAGGCTTTTGTACCTTCATGTTGACCAGTCATTGGGTATAAGTTGCCATAACCTTGATTGAGTGACACAGGTCTCTTGAGCTGATGGTAGCTCCTAGACAAGGACTCAGCTTTGAATTTTAGCAGCTAACTCTCCAGACAGCCAAGGAATTGGTGCCTGGGTGCTGTAGCAGAAACGTGGGTGGCACACCAGCATTCACTACACCACTCTTACCTGAGAGGCCACTTTGATCTTTCTTATTCTTCCCTCCTATAGGACTCTAATTATATTTGCAGCAAAGGTCAAGTGCCACCAGTTATTCCTTTCCTGGTCCTACCGCCCTAGGCTAGAGAAAGTTTCCACCCTTCTGAATTCCATTACCATATCATGAGAGCGTGGTGCACAGCTGATCCCGAGCACAGTAGAAGCAGAGTATAGGTTGAAACCCAACTATCCACTTAGACCCTATCCACTTCTTTTTGTAAGACTTGATCTGCATGGAGGGTTTGTTTTGAATAAAAACCTAGGGAGGGTGTCTAGCACCTGGGATGCAGAGATGGATAAGTAGAAAAGCACAAGCCATAAAAGCAACAGCACTGAGTTAGTTCTCATTTGGTCCCATAAGCCCCCTGACCTTTATAGGAGTTAGAACCAAAAGTTTAGGGAGATATTTTCAAGAGTGGTTTTATGATACTTGCTATTCAAATAGTGCAGTTTCTAGAGCTGATGTGATGCCCAGTGACACAAGTTAGAGAGCATGTCTTCTCCTCAACTGTCCTGCAAGCTTCTATGTAGCCTTTGCACTCCAACCAGAAGGATCAGTGATGGCATTCAAAGGTTGAGTAGTCCCATGGAGGGCCCTGGCAGCCACTGAAAAGGTGGGACTATTTTTCAAGTGTCCTGCAGACATCAATGAAGAACCTAGAACAGAAAACATGAATGAACAATTCATGAGCACATTTGAGCAACACTTAAGACTTCCACGTGGCTTTCATTTTTCTCTGAGGAGATGACTGGGTTTATAACTTGATTAATGGGGAAATGGGAGGAAGGAATACAGTTTCCCAGTTACTGAAACTCATGCATGGATTTTAGTGTGAACAAATTTGAAAATTTCAGGTTCACCTGAAAGTTATCACACAATGCTTTGGAGAGATTTAACTGTTTATGTGTGTATCTTTGCTTTCTAACTAGATTACAATAACTCTGCAGGTAAGGACCATGTCTTTCCCTCACAAATATTTAATGATTAATTCATACATTGATGGCAGCGGATCTCCTGGGTCCTGAAGTAGGTAATTTTATTTACCTGATTCTTATTTGCAGACCAGGGCTTGGTGAGCATAGAATCATAAAGCGGTCTTTTCTCATTAGTCACCACCCAGTGACTACTGTCTTTTTCCACCAGCCTTTTTCTTTTAAGATCAGAGTCCCTATGCTTTTGTTTGTCTTCTAAATGTCTCATGTTTCTGTCTTCACTTCTTCCAACACTGGTGATTACCTCATTGTGGTCTTGACCTATTCCTCCATCAAAACCTACATGGCTTATAGGATCACTGAGTTCTCAGACACTGATGACATTAACCCAGTTTTCATAGGGTATTTAACATGTTTGAACCACAGACAAGAAAGAGAATTAAATATAGGCCCTAGCCTGTGCTACTTTTTAATCTTCTTGCATTATGCTCTTAGATTTCTGGGTTTTCCCTAAGTGTTTTGGCAATAAAACTGAAAGCTGATAAGACATTAGTTGGTGCAGTCCCAAATATTTTCAAACAGTGAATATGAAAAATAAGAGGTCAGGTGAATCAATTAGTCTGAGATAATTTTATGGGATTACTCATTGTATTACAGGTTGGTTGGTTATTCCACTATATTTTATTGCTCTCTTTTCCCAAACATAGAAAATTCTCACTATACAAAGTCTGTTCAATCTAAACTTCAAAAATGACCTCCAACATACATACTTTGTTCAAGATGCAGGAACCATTTCCTGAATTTTAACTGGGCCAAAGAGACATATGTGTATGCATATCCATGATATTCTCATAAATACATAATATGTTACATATACAAATGTTTTATACTTTTTTCATAATGAACAATGTGTAGACAAACATAGAGACTAAGACAAGTGCAAACATAAATAGGAGAGGGTTCAAAATCAAATCTATGGAGAAAGTGGAGAGTGTTTTTAGGTGTCAGTAATTTGCTTGGTAACAGGATCTCTATGCTTAGAACTTTTCCTGTGTACTTAAATGAGAATTTTTGACTGGATGATCCAGACTATTATATCACCATTTTCTTCTTTTTTGATGAAGATAGAGGCTTAGAAATACAAAAGAGAACAGGAAATCTCCTTAAAAAAAATTACAGCATTGTCTTGCATAGACTGTAACCACTCCCTGAACTACCAACTCAGTGAGCGCTATGAAACCATCTTACAAGGAAATACCCTATTCTCTGCAACTCAGAAAGCATCTTGATCATCAGTTATCCTCTAGCTGAGTTCCTTATCTGACCCAAGTCTTCTTTCTGCAAACCTTTTGTTCAGGCATTTTCTTTCTACTACTACTTACTAAAATTGAGAAGGTCAAAGTGCAAGTGGTAATTGCTCTTGGCACTTTAGAAAATGGTTTTCTTTCCATACCTATGATTTTCTTTAAAGCCTTCTTCTGCTGAGTCTCTATCAGTTGTTCTTTGTACTGTAGATCAACACATTCGGGACCCCTCTACCTCCTAAGTCCCTTTCTGGTATTGGGGAGTTTAAAATTCAGTGAAGTAGCCCAATGTAAATATGTTTTCCATGCTATGGTTCTGGTAAAAAGGGAGAAGAAAATGAGTAGAAAACAAGATGCTTTTTCTGCATTTATGATGTCATCACAAAGTAGTTGAGAATTGGAGGTGGGTTTATGTAGCAGAGACAAGACAATTGGGGGAGAACTTATATGGAGGAAAAAAAACAGTACTGTTAAAAGAAAAACGTCAACTGAATTAAATTTAAAAGAGTTTAATTGAGCAGTGAACTATTTGGGCAGCTTCCTGAGCCAGAGTAGATTCAGAGACTCCAGTGCAGCCATGTGGTGGAGGAAGATTTATGGACAGACTAAGGAAAGTGATATACAGAAAATGGAAGTGAGGTATAGAGACAGCTGGGTGGGTTACAGTTCAGTGTTTGCCTCATTTGAACATAGTTCAAATAGTTGGCTACATTTGATTGGCCAAAACTCAATGATTGGCACAAGTGTAGACTAGTCTGTTTACACCTCTACCTGTTAGGGTTCACAATGTACAGAGAAACCTTTAGGCCAAACTTAAAATATGTAAGGAGGCAGCTTTAGGCTAAACTTGATTTAACAGCACTATTTTTCTCTATTTAAGGTCGCTAAGAGAAAGGCCATATAAGCAGTTCATCTTTCCACAACTAATGCATCATTTATTTGGATTTCTATTTGCCATTCTACTAATACTTCCATGTGCCAGAGACCACACCTAATTTCTCCCTTTAGAGTTTCCTAGCGACTTGATTTCTCTTTTTGCCTTTGTTTTTAATCTAGAGTTTGGATTGGCTCTATCTTTACCCACCTTTATTTCTTCAGTGGTTTAGTTGACCTGGTTGCTTTTATCCACTGTACCTACTTCATGGAAAATCAAAGAAAGATGTTCTGAGTTGAATTTCAGTTAGATCCCAAGCACAGTAGAAGCAGAGTATAGGTTGAAACCCAACCCTATCCACTTAGACAATATTTCTTTTTGTAAGACTTAATATGCATGGGGGGTTTATTTTGAATAAAAACCTAAGGAGGGTGTCTGGCTGTCTCCTCATTTTCTTCATGCATATCATCATTATTTTGAACCCTCAACTATATGGACAATGAGAATTTTCATTCCTGGATTAAGACTCTTCACTTTCTCCTTCACCATTACTATTATAGCAAATAACAGCTTTTGCTATAATATGAACATGTAATTATACCTTGAAGATTTGTTCATAAGCATCAAATTCTATAGTAAAAATAAATCATATTTTACAAATTACACTAATCCAAGTTTCTAGAATTAATGGAAAGGAAAACCATTCTGAAGATATTTGTAATCCGTCAATCTTTGGGGAAAAAAATATTTCAATCTGGATTCACTGATTTGCCGAAATAGCTCGTTTCCTCTTAGCAATAAGAGGGAATATAGTAATACTTTCACTCCTATAGCCCCCTTTTATTCTAAGATCATAAATATGCTGCAACCATTAATTAATTAAGTGTTACAGCCTTACCAGTGAAGTAGGTGAGTTTCCTGTCTCCAACTGTGGCCAGCGCTCAGAGAAAGGCTGAGTCTTCCCTAATGCAGCTAATTAGGCAGTGCTATACCACTAGGGAAAATTTCTGATCCCAGCTGGAGATCAACTTGTGCCCTGAAGAAATGGGACTTGATAGCCCTTCAAGTTTTCATCCTAACCTCTGTCCCTGCTGTTGATACTCTTAGTCATATCAATATCTAGTTCTTTTTGGTGTATTACAGAGCTGTTGGTCCCCAGAGCATCCAGGGTCTAAAAGAAATCGTAGATGAAAAGCACATTGTGCTAAAATAAACAAACAAACAGATTCTTATCCTCCATTTTTTTAGTGTGAACCTCCATCTGTGGCAAGGACACATATTTAATTGGTGTTGTGATCACTCCACAGAAGGGGATGGACCTCCCACCTCCAAGATCTGGTTCGGGTGAAACTGGTAACATCACACACACAACAAGGGGATATACAAAGGTTTATTACTCACATAATGAACCTCTCTGGGGAGAGCAGGGCTGGCTTCCAAGTTGTTCTGAAAATGGTTTAAGAGAGCAGGGAAAGGAGTCAGCTGTGAAGTTTTATTAAAGATGGGTGAGGCTGCGTAAGAGTCCCAATGAGCACAGGTTGGGGCTTGTGTGGTTTCAACTTCCTACCAGTGTCAAAAAAGAAAATATGCAGGCTTTCTTACCAGCGTGCCTAGATGTGGGCAGAAAGGAAAGAGGAAAGCATGGGGCTTGGAAGCTATCAGCAGTCAAATATCAAAAATTAAGTCACTATTATAATCAACATACTATATAAAATTCCCAGGTCATACAAAGATGCTGTGTGTATAATTAATGAAATAATTATATGTTGAGGGAGCAGTTTTGGAAGTATGAAGGAAATAAATAATTCAAAGTACCTAAAACTTTTGACTGGGACGCTGTAAGCATGAAATATAGCAGCTGGTAGTGTCTGTGGTGCCAGGAAATAAAAAGGCCTCCTTTTCTAATAAACGTTAATGAAATGTGGTTACGCTGTTACACAGATTCCTTGGGTTCCTGGCCTTCTTATTTGGCTCATATCCTAAATATCACAACTGCTATTTAAAGTCTCACCAAATTACTCTTGTAACCTCCCAAGAGTTCAGGGACAAGAGTTGTTTCTGACCATTTTGCAACAGTGGAAGTGGTGGCAAAAAAGGGACTTAACCTAAGGTCATGTATGCAATATCATGATTTCTGATTTAGCTTAATCCACTAAATCAAAATGCTTCTTCCCACTTTTATTTGCCATAATTTCAAAAATCAGACATGCATAATGTTTCTTCCTCCTATCTTTCTAAAAATAATTTTGTTTGGTTCTTATTTGGTCTTGTAATTTAATTTACTGCGGAGAGGAAGTTTAGCCATGTCATTTTAAGAGCAAATTTATGCCAAAGAACGTTTTGAAAGCAATGTTTGGGGAATTAAATACTCCCAACAAATATTCCCAGAACAAGACAAATTTCCCAGAATTTCAAATTTTCTGTTGTTTTCTCATGTTATCACGGGAACTCTGATGCTGTTCCTAAGTTACACAAAATTCTACCTCAAGCAATATGTCTCTCTAGGCTCTGGCTCCACTCTTGGTACAATTTTTTGGTTCTCCCACTGCTGCAAAAAGACATATTTCTTATTGTTCGAATGCCTTGTGTTTTTCCTCTGTTTTCCTTGATCACAGACCGGTCTCAAGAAATGATCCGCCAGCTGCTACATATAAAATTTTACTTTTCTTTTGTCATTGCATATATAAGTTAATTCAACTTATTCTCATTCATTCAACAAAAGCTTATTGAGTGGTATTATATTTGGGGTTCTGACAAAGCTAGACATATATAGTCCTGCCCTCATGAAGTGCAGTTTAAGAGACAGTCCAAGCATTCATTCTTTATGTAAGGCAAAGTTTTTATGATCCCCCAGATGTCTCCAAGCTAGTACATGGAAGAGACGCAGTATGCAAATGTATACCTCTGTGACTCTAAATCCCATACCCTTCACCAAATCCTCATGTGGTACCAAGGAGATGTTTCTAAGTTTAAATCATTCAATTCATGGAGGAGCTATTAATTTTACAAATGGAATTGGATATTGGACAGCAGGCCTTACCTAAATCAAAACAATTGCATTCCACATAGCCTGTCCCTCTTCAGTACATTTTGAAGACTTGGGGTTATTAATTTATTTTTCTGAATGTTTATGTAACCTTTTTACTATATTCCTTAGGCTGCAAAAAGCCTCAGTAGAGGTTTCTCGGTTGCTAAAGGCAAGGAAAACAGGAGTTGGCTCCAGGCATAGTTATAAAACAAATATGTTTTTTTTTTTTTTTTTCAAGAAGAAAAATAGCCATGAGAAAGCCAGTTTCCTAAATAGGATGTGTTGAGGTTTTTTTCCACTCATGACTGATTGTGGCACCAAACTAGGATTATCATTTTGGACATCTTTAAAAAAATTAAAGCCCAAAATAAGTCTATAGAATGTTGAAGCAAACAGACCTCATATAAATTCCTAGAATCCAACACAGAATTCATTTCAAAGCTGACCATTTGCAGATCATCTTAGTATGTGTGTTTACTCAGTTACTGATATGCAAAATGCCCTGTCATCAGTATGGTTGTTGGTTTATCTGGCATATGCTACATAACACCGTTGAAGAACAAGCCACTTAACTTTGTGTTTGAAAATGTTAAAGAAGAACTGCACTCCGTGTTTATTCTGCATAACAACATCTTTGCAAAAAGGATCAACTCGGAATGAACTTGCATTTTCTTTCTTCATGTTGTCAAGGAAATGGCCCTATGTTAGATCAATTTTTGTCCTCGTTAAACCAATTCAAGAATGAGGTTTTAAAAAGTGGATGGCTACAAAAGTGTATTTTCATATGTTACACCCTGCTGAAAAGGCATTGGCATAGAGTGTTTTGACTTTTTTAAATGTTCTGGAGATTTGAATGGCTGGTCATTGTTGTTATGTCTTACTTAAACTCTCAGCAACCTGTCAGAAAGGGGTGGAATAGTCAGTCAAAACATAAAACATACAAAACACTTCAAAGTAGAGTGAGAGAGACTTAAGCTGTTTTTTTTCTTTTAACAACCTGTATTGTGCCTTTAAAATCTTGATACCTCATTTTGAGGATAGAAAGTCTAAATGGAACAGGAAATGACACAACATGGAATTACTTCCACCAAAATAAAAATTACTGGGGAGAGGAAACTGATTGAGACTAAAACGCAGGAGTCCTATCTGGAAGCAAGCATGTATCCCTTCTTAAGAAGAAGTCTACCCACAGTCTACAGCCTCCTTTAATGTTATTTTCCACAATTAAAACATGGAAGAAATCTACTATCCATTTTTTAAATAAATAGGAATCAGAACCCAAGGAAATTTCCCCAAATATATGCTTGCCTACAGTAGACATCGAACGTTCACTTACTCCTTTATTTAGTTATGACACATTGTAAGTATAAACAACTTCTAAATTCCACCAACAACTAAATTAATTTTCTGATTTTCTCTTTTAAGACTTGGCTTTGTGTTCCATAACTCAAGGTTTTTTATGGATGATAAGCCTCACTTCCTCTGTGGTTAAATATCAGCTATCTAGCTCAGTGTCTTTTAACAGGAAGGCTTAGCCTCCATATTTTTCTATTCATTCAGCATTTATAAGAAAAATATTCACTTTTACGACAGAATGAAGCCAAAGCCTTAAGTTGTTAATATTGACCAAAAATGTACACAGCCCCAACATATGCCCCTTGCCATTCACAAAACAGATGCTAATTGGAAGTAAATATCATTTATCCATGACTAGACTTGCAAACTCAAACTGTTTTATAAATAACAAAAAGTGTGCTTTCTTTCCTTACCAAACAGCAGAGAGGAAAAAAATCACCAGTGGCTCTGGGAATACATTTATCAATAACCTATTATTTTTTGACTAAATAGAACTTATATCTTCTGTTATCACTGAATCCAAGAGAAGAAATGTAGATAAAAAATGAAGAACCTCAGACACAATTTCTCAAAGAATTTCATGTTCATTAAAAAAAGTAATTAAAACATGTATCCATTTTAATTATTGGTTCCCAAGTTTACTGAGTTGGTTTGTCAAATAAAAATGTTTCTGAATACTCAGAATTTTTTAGTGTGGTACAGAAGCTTGAAGAAGTCAAATGACCTTAAAAAAAAGAAAAATTGTTCTGAATTCTTGGTATATTAATAGTATTTATAGTTGGACAACTTTAGACCAAGCTGAATGTCATCATGTCTATATCTAAGATACAGCGACTTTTTGGTCTAATGATACTCTCTTTCCGTGATTCTTCCCTCACATCTGGTCGCCAAAGAGTCGTTCCGTCACCCTGCAGCCTGCTAATGAGATCCTCCATTTAATTAATACCATAAGAATTTTAATTCTGACTGAATCAATTTAACGTGATGTGATTTTGTCAGCTCTATTCCCCAAGTAAAAAGTGAGCCTGATGCTTATTACATACATCATTTCACGGGCCCTGCATTCCCTGCTGACTTAAACAAATTCTAATTAAGACTAATTAAAGCATCATTTATGAAAGCGCTTGTGATAGCTATGCAAACATTCTGGGTGGGTATGCTTTGCATAATAATTATCCTAGTTAATATTAAGGCTAGGTCCTTGGCAATTAGGTCTTTGAAACTGAGAGTTATTCTGAATTTAGCCCTTTTCAGTGTGAGCAATTAATTTAAAAAAAGTGCTAAATTTATGTAGTGGCTTCATTAACAAAATAAATTTAGAAGTAGTAGTATTGTTTGCATTTTTAAAACTAAGCATAATTCTTAACCCAGGTGACAGTTATTAAAATAAAAGGATGTAGTTTTTTGATCTGGTAAGTTTATTATAGCCATCCAAGAAAAAGCATTAATTTTATAAGTTGCAGTCAGATTTTTGAAATGAATCTTACTAGTCTACAGCATATTACTTACATACGTAGATGTCTATAAGTAACAGACATCTGAAACAATATTTTATTTTTAAAATTAGATGTTTAGACAACATTTTAAAAATCTGATGTGAGCTCAAAGTGCTATACAGGCTGATTAAATTCCTCAATTTTATAATTACTTGATAGGTCTAATATGCAAGAAAATGCGTCCTTACGCCTGCTGAGTTTAGTGAAATTAGAAATTCTGACAGCATTCATAGTTTGCTTTACCTTTGTTTTTAAAGTCTCTATTATACTGTCAGTATTCATTGTGCTGCAAAATTGAAATGTATTAAAATGCTGTAAAAACTGCTTGCCTTTCAAACTCCTATATACTTTTTCTAGGACTTTATGGCAGGGTCAAGTGAAGTTGGAGGTTTACAAGAAGAAATGGAAAAAAAATGAAAGAAAATGTGACCCTTTTATTAAACGGGTAAAAGAAGTTGATAATAGATAGTACCAAGAAAAAAAAAAACTAAAAAGCTTCTTTTACCTCGATCTTTACAAATACAGTGAATTCAAAATTCAGGCAGGCAACTCAGAGGTAGGAAACAAACTAGTCTATTAACACGAGCTGGTGTGTTAAATATAGAGTCTACTAGATTTTATCCAACACCATTAAAAACCAGACAGAAGTTTTACACGAGGTTCTATCTTCGAATACTCATAGGACACGAATCACTGAAAGTCAGAAAGATATTCTATATCTTGGTATATAAGAAAATAGGGAAGCTCTCTACATTTTTATCTAATACACAGCAAAAAAAAATTTTAAAGCCTATATTAAACCCCCACAAGAACAATATAATGCTAAAAAGACCAAAAAATAAAGATTGAACTGTTGATTCTAGTAATTTTGTGGGACAAAACTGATAGTGAAAAGTAATGTGCATAAATCTATTAAGCTCAATCACATTCTCACAAAATTACCTTTAAAAATGTGATCCTAATTCTATAACTTCAAGGACAGTAGAAAATTGTCACAAAAGTCTGTGTCCAGGCATTGAGTGACTGAACTGATTTTAGGTCTGTTATCAATTAACTGGGTGGAAAAAGAATAAGTATGCTCGTTAAATTGGCAAATGACACCAACTGAGAGGGGTATCACTGTAACACCTTGAGAAAGTATCCAAAGCAGTGTCCAGCAGAATAAGTTTAATTGAGAATACTTCCACAGCCTAAAACTAGTGAAAAACAAACTCTATAAGGAACAGAAGTATATTAAACAGCTTCAAGGAATTGTAGTTTGATTACAACTCATGGGTTTTAGCAGTAGATTTTTCTAAATCCAGCATGATCCTGAGATAGAATCATATCACATAAGAATCATAAAGCAACCCTCCCTTTAAATAAAAATATAAATGGTCAGCATAGCTAAAGAGATATGGAAAAATGGCCTGTGGGAAAAGTTCTTTAGGATTAAACGATTCAATTGAACTTAAAGAATTATTGAGTATTTTTCAAAGCCAAGTGCTGGCTGAGGCAGACCAAAGGGAGAGACAATCATGGCACCCGTTTTAGTTATTTCTTTGTCGTTGTTGTTAAGAGGTCTCTGAGAGTCAGAAGCACAATTAAATGACAAATCATAGAGGTTCCTTCTGAAAATAAGTGCAGAATGTTTGGGAAACTTCTCTCTAAGCAGGATGAAAGAAATAGCTGAAGAATAAGCAAAAGATTACGGGTTGGCAGAGAGACTAAGTCTGGGTGGAAGGATGAGGGCAGTTCTTGCCTAAGCTGAACAACTTACATATGTAGGAAGTGTGGAATGATAAAACGTTTTAGGTATCCTTAGGCAGAAGGTGGACCAGCTGATCTCTATAGTTGCTTAGGAGACAAAAAAATAATAATAAAATGAACCAAATCGCTGGAAAATAATTAGGTCAGAAAAAAAGAAGAAAAAAATATATAAAACATAAACCCCAAAATAACTTTACAAAACTATTTGCTTACCTTCTAGACAGGTGAATTCTAAAATAGGAGTGGGCGATTTGTGGCTTCCCTGACAGTGAGTGGCCCTTTAAGGCAGTTGTTTGTAGCATGAGGGAGGGATGAGTTTTCTTTCCCTTGTACCCTCATCCTTTCCTTCATTTTTTATTTACTTACTAGTTGGTCTCCTTTTTTGTTGTTGTTGTTCCCTCTTTTTCTAATACACAAGAATGCTCTGTTCATGAGAGCTGTTCTAGATTAAAGCAGGCAATCAAAGAATTGTCATCCGGAACAGTGGCTCTCAAACTTTGGCCTGTATCACATTCACCCGGAGGGCGCGTTAAAATGCAGGCTGCTGGCTCCCACATGCAGACTTCTGATTCAGTGTGTCTAGAGTGAAGCCTGAGATTTTGCCCTTCTAACAAGTTCCCAGGTGATGCTGAAGCACCTGATTCTGGACCACAGTTTTGAGAACCACTGTTCTGCTCAAGTTCAAAGGTCCCAAAATCTGAGTACTGATGGAAACCATAGATGTAATCACTAGTTTGAACATCTGCAATCTTTACATAAAACATCATTAATATTCAGCCAGTAAACATCTGTATGTCCACACCAATTTTTTCCAGATAGTATCTGTTTCAATTATTTCATATTCAGGCCAAATCAAATGTTCTAAACATCACCCCAGAAGACTATTCATGAAGTGTCCATACATTTCAAATTTCATATCAAAATTATTCCTGCTGAGAAGAAAATTATAAAGATTTTAGGTTTCACCTAAATATTGAACTTCCAATCGTAACACGCATAATTAGCAACTAATAACAACTGCTTTTTAAAAAGTCTCAAAATGATCACTGAGTAGAAGATTTCATATGGTATTCTAAATCTTAACTGTTAAGGACAGTATGCATATCCACAGTAATATTTGAAAAAAAAACATATAGTACAATTCAGCCATTATGGATAGCAGCCTCTTTATTATTCACACTGGCAAAAAAAAAATGAGGGGCTCATTTTACATTTAGGAAATTAAAAATTCATATTAAGGATGCTTTTAAAAACATTGGAGGGTGTTACCAACAAAGGCTGTAAAAATCTTCCATCTTTAATAGGCTGTGAAGCAGCATTTCTTCTCTCTGGTTTGCTTAAGAAATATCTGGCTTGGAGGCAGATGAAAAGACTGCTTAGAGGTTGGAGATAACTTTACAACCCAAGTTTAGGTTTTAATAACCACAAATAAGTTATTAAGATCCCAGGCTGATATTTAATATATGACATTACTAGGTATAGTACTTTGAATACATTTAAAATTTACAAAACATTAAAATGAATTAGAGATGGTAATTGGATCCCTTAGCGAAAGGAGAAATGGCAACCCCATGTTAGCTGTAGGCAACCCAACACCACTCAGTTCATACTGAGGAGGAATAGAAAATATCTACCCCTACACCAATATCACACAGTTGAACCAATTCACTTTACAGAAGAGGAAACTAAAGCTCAAAGAGATTAAGTGTCTTGTCTGAGACCACACACCATTGGGTAAAGATTACCTTTTCCTAAAATGGAGGAGTGGTTTTTCCACTGTCATCCCACTACTGCCTTCAAACTCAACCACTAAGGCACTAAGGAAGATGTATTAAAACCTGACCATCTCAGGAGATAGAGACCATTCTGGCTAACACGGTGAAACCCTGTCTCTACTAAAAATACAAAAAATTAGCCGGGCATGGTGGTGGGCACCTGTAGTCCCAGCTACTGGGGAGGCTGAGGCAGGAGAATGGCGTGAACCCGGGAGGTGGAGCTTGCAGTGAGCTGAGATCGCACCACTGCACTCCAGCCTGGGCAACAGAGCAAGACTCTGTCTCAAAAAAACAAACAAACAAAATAAACCTGACCATCCAGGCTGATGTTTCCAGAGAGTGAACTTTGTCTCTCTTAGTGTTTTGACTTTTCTGCATACTTGCCTGCAGGAAGATGAGTTTTTGTTTTATCCTTGATCAAATCAGATTTGCTCATTTTGGAAAAGGCTACTGTATACACATCTGAATGCTCTCCTGATTTGCTGGGAGATTAAAAGTGAGCTAGTTAATGGGCTTGTGTTCAGTTTTGCTCCCCTTTAAAACAGGAATGATTGGCAGCTCTGATAGGAAGGAGAAATAGATAACCTGTATCAAACACTACTGTGTTCCATGGAAATCTCTAAGAAACTGACAAAAGACTTGGGAAGAGAATTTCCGTTTGTTTTCTTTTCAAGCACACAAGGTTTGTACGGATTTAACTTGATCAAGTGAAAAGCCTATAAAGAGAAAGAGGCAGAATGAGGTTTCAGGATCTATATTCTCCAGCGACTAATAACTGGCAGTGGCAACCGGGGCCTAAGTGGAAGTGAGCAAGTTGGGCAGGGATTTAACTCACATCCCAAAGGCAAGGTCTGTACTGGTTGTTTGTTCAAATAACAGCTTAGCCTTAGAATGTAATACAAGGTACTCAAGTAAAATAAAAAGTAAACTCCACTCAGCAGAGCAGCCAGATCAAGGAGGAATTTGGCTTTATGATGGAACACATTAAATCTGGTAGGAGGAAATGAGTGTGAATGGTAGTCTTCCTCTCCCAGCAGAAACGAATAACATTTGATTTTGCAGAAATCAATCACAATGAGCGCCCCCTTGCTTTTGGCCACATCTCTGAGTATTACCTCCTTCATCAGGGGCAGTGCTGGGGCCAAAGAGGGGAAAGAGTAATTCACTGCAATTCACCACTTGTTAACTTTGGAGTTAAAAAAAAAAAAAAAAGGAAGGGGTGCATTTGAGGGAAGGAGGTGGGGCTTTCTAAATGAGTTCAGGGATTATTTGTAGATTTCATTTAATAATTCTCTACCTGACCCTCAAAATAATGGAAAAGTGAAAGTTTTATTAACTCATGAGAATATATGAAATTCAATCTCTACCTGCCACTTGTATCTTCAGGTAGAACATATAAATAGGGCAGATGGAAATGACATTGTTTAATTACCGAACATTCAATGAGGCAAACCCAAAATCAAAATATAAATATGCATTGTATAAACAGAGAAATTTAGAAGTCCATGTTAATTGTATCTAGTTAATTTTTAACAGCTTCCTGGTATATTAGCTTTCTAGGTTGCACTTCATGCCGTTCCTGTATTACTCTATTGACAGGCAGCTGGTGCAGTAATAAAACTGCTATTCCCAGATCTGCCAAGGGCTCAGAGAGAGATGAGTACAAGACAGATATCTACCCACTCACCATTTAACGTGTACCGTTTCCTACTGAACATGCAGATGGCATGGCGGTCCCAGATTTCATTTGAGTTAATCTAATCCCTCCACTGCTCCCACTAGAAAGGAGGGCATTAGCAGCCATATGTCAACCAGATTTGTCAGATTATTCATTACAATTAATTGCTGTTCTCACTTAAGGCCTTTAAGGCTGTGAATTGCTCTGAATTCTATTGCAAACACAAAATTATGAGTAAAAGACTTTAGCCCTGTCATTCAAATTTCACGCTGACCTTTATCAGCTTTTGGCTTTTCCATGGGTGCTGGGCTGAAAGCTTTCTAATTGGTGTTCCATTTCTTCCTCACTACAGGTAAGCTGTCGGCCTAGGCAATAAGTATGACCAGAAAGACAAGAGGAAAAACTCTTAGGTCCCAGCAGACAGTATTTAACTGCCAACTAATAATACATTAGGAAGGTAATGAAACGAGCTAGATGTCATAATCACCCAGTATACTAATTAAGCCTCTAAATACTGCAGGTTTTTAAGACATTTTCTGTCTTAGAAAGGCTTATTTTTGGAACCAAATTTCTTTTTACATTGTTTCATTATTCAAACTCTTTTGTAAGTTATTATGGATGATCATTAGAAATTAACCAAATTAATACCCACACCTTCACGTGAAGAAGTCAGATTTCAGGCTCCAATATGCTGGACCCCATCAATGTCATTTTAACATATTCTTAGATGAAGGAAACTTTGAGACTTCTCAGCTCTGCAGAAGTTGTTATTCAATTTATTTTATTTACTGTTCCTTGATGCCACAATTCAAAGTTAGAACCACTTTCTTTTGCACTTTCCTTTGATTTTCAAGGTTCTGTTGAACCTGTTTGGTTATGGATGAATCCTCTTCTCTGTTAAGCTCAACCAAAGCCATAGTGTGATAGAATCAGTGCTGTTTGATTAGATGATCATCAGAGGATCCTTGATTGCCAAGAAGTGTCTGTCATTGATATTATTAAGCCACAGTGGGGCTGCCTTGATTAATACTTTGTTTGCAACTTCAGGCCAGTGATTTCGTCAGTTGTTTCACAAATCTCGACATGAAGGTTTTATTAAGGATATCCTAAGCAGAAGTTGACAGTTGAAACTTCTACTATGATTTCCTTCTTTGTGCTTAAAGTCCTTGTTTGCAGAATAAGGTAATATCTTGGGTCTGGAAAAAGTGAAAGAGAAGAAATCAGTGTTGTTGTTGTTGTTTTTTCTTGGTTTTTACAGAGATACTATTAGAAGCCAAAAGTAAGTCTCACCACTCTAGTGTTAGAAATGTTATATATGAATGATAGCATTAGGTTTGGCAATAATCCCCGAACATAGAATAATAATTTAGTGTTTTCATCTTAGTCCATTGTCTGCTATAACAAAATAACATAAACCATGTGGTTTATAAACAACAAAAATTTATTTCTTGCAATTCTGGAGCCTGGAAAGTCCAAAATCAAGACTCCAGAAAATTCCATGACTGGTGAGGACTCCACTTCCTAGTTAATAGATAACTGTCTTTTCTCTGTGCTCTCACATGGTGGAGGGGCCCAGTGAACTCTCTGGGGCCTCTTTTGTAATGAATGAGCTCTGCTGTCATGACCTAATTACCTACCAAAACCCCCACCTCCTAATACCATCACCCTGGGGGCTGGAATTTCAACATAAGAATTTGGAGAGGTGGGCATAAACATTCAGTCTGTTGTAGTTTCATTTAAACATTTGTCAATAAAATAATAAAGAACAGTTATAGCAGGTGAATCATGTCTGCATTTAAGCACACTACTTATTGTTCTTTTTATTGGACATGGGGAATTTCAAGTGGTAATGGAGATCAACTAAAAAGACCAAGGATACAATAATTGGCCTGTGAAAGTCATAATTAATACATCTTCTCTCTAAATGGAGAAAAAATAAGTATTCTTTCTTTTAGACCTTTCACTTACTTTTCTGATGAGAGACAACTTACCCATGAAGTACCATCTTTGCTTAGATTTTTTTAAGCCCTGAAAATGATTTAGAAGAATTTACATAAGATAACTACTATGTCATGGTTAGATTTCCCTTCTTAATCAAATACACTATATAAATCCAAAAGCATTTAATCTATGTAAAGAAATATGTTTACATCTTTTGTTGATATATATAAAAGAAGGATCTCAATTTCTACAAATTAATATCCTAGGAAAACTATTACCCTATTTCAAATGCCTGAGGATTACTTTCTCTAATTAGCTAACTATTAAGAGCACTAAATAGATTTATCTTTAGGTCTATTTTTAATATATTCTGTCACCTTTTTTCCAAACGAACAGGATTTCATGATTGAAATAGCTGGGGGATGATGTGACTGAACAAACTTTGATATCAGATGGCTACCAGATCAAGAAAAAGTTGGGCTCTTTCTTGAAGCAAAAGAAGACAAATACAAGATGAACAAAGAAGCAATAATGATGCAAAAGATAAATGAGGTGATAGTCTACATTTCCAATAACTTCAAGAAGGAATGGCAGATCTTGACTCCTGAAAGGTTGAAGGAAAACAGTGACCCCAGAAGTATCAAATAGTACTAACTTTCGAACCATGGTTTGGCTTCAACTAAACTGGTTAACACTGGCCTCTGCTACTATTAATCAAAATCAGATGACCTGAGCAAGTCATATCACCTAATTAAACCTTATTTACTTCATATAAGTAAGTGACAGAGTCAGAATAATTTGTCATTTTTATTTGCTAAATTTGATACCAAATACCATGAAATGTGAAGAAAAACAGAAAAAAAGTATAAAGCTTATCCAGAGGTCCAACAAATCTGTAAAGGTAGAAAAATTTTAGACAAGTAATATTGGTCTCTTTTTATATCATTTTTGAGAATTTGCTTGAGGTGGAATGAAAATAATAATGGAATCAGAACTTTTCCTTCAAAACACCTAAGCCCATTGTTTTCTCTCTATGTAGGCAGTCCAAACTAGACTACAGCTGTTTCCTTTTAATGGCACAAGTAACATCTATGTCTGTCTTTTGCAAGTTCAGTGATGATGAGCTGTGTATATCTGGTTCTCAGTTATATATTCCCGGAAATTAATATAATACCTAGCTCTTAATGAATATGCAATAAGTGTTTGTTGAATTAGTAGAATAGATAAATCACAACGACAAACAAATGCATCTTAAATCTTTTTTCCTAATTTGGTGAAAAATAGTGTCAACTGGACGGCTCTAGGAAATGACAATGTCAAATATTCTACTGGAGTACTTTGAAATAGATGTATCTTGATTTCCACGCAGTTCTTCTAATGCTGTTTTGCTTCTCTTTTCTTAAATGCCTCGGAGTTTGAAGATAATTTGGGGAATTTGAGAAAAATCTATCCATTAAAGGCCGAGCTCCTCAAAAATGTACCAATTACATTTTTGCTAACTAAACGTAAAGATGTTTTAATATTTCGAGGAGTTGTGTGACTTGAAATTTGGTAAAATAATACCCATCAAATATGGAAGATTTGGTATTTTCTTTCAAAAAGTAAGCTGAGTAGGTAAGTCTTTCACTGTTTTAAAAATATGAAAATATAAAATGCTTAAAATTTCATACTTCATTAAATTTTATGTGACACGAATTTAAAGTTCTCATAATAAAGCCCACCTCATTTAAGATCACTTCAGTTGAACAAGGTATCTCAGTTAAAGGAGAGAAGTAACTGTCACAACGAAAAGAACTTTTTTCCTGCCTTAAAATAGTATACCACAAAAATGTAAAATCTCAGCTGATAAACACGAAGTAGCCCTTACCAGTGGTGGAAATCAGCAATATTAGGGAGCACATTGCAATATTTAACTTAGCCTTCATACACATAGGTAAGCTTTTTCCTCTAATATACTGGTTTTTTAAAGCAGAAATTAAGCAATATAGTTTTAAATTGGCTTAAACCAAAACATAAAGTGAATGAAGTTTCAGTTTTTGTCCTAGTTATTATATAACTATTGTGCAACTCTAATGGTTTAAAAGAAGCTAATATGTCTAAATATGAAAGAAAATCCTTATCCAACTAATTATAATTTTGTTTTCATTTTTGTCAGGAGATTCTGTTTATATCCTGGCTTTCTGCCATGTCATGTTAATGCTATAAAAATTCTGAACTTGGAAAGTTATAGGAGGAAGACTTAGGATAATATGGTGGCCAAAATATTTATGCTAGAGAGAGGAGCAAGGCACCTGGTAGGCAGATCCATGCTGGTAACTTTTCTAAAGACTTTGATTTTTTAAAGGATGGTTATGTTTATTTGTTGATCACAAGGGTGAACACTCCTGTATATTCTCTCTCTGGGACTGAGACAGTCCAGGTAGTATTTGGGATACCTTGTTGTATGGTTTCTAACATAAAAAAAAAAAAATTAAACTTAAGTACCGAAAATAGACCTGGAACCACCAAATCAGAGTCCAAAGTAGAATGTTGTAAATGTTGACTGTAAGAGAATTTTTAAAGGCTAATGGGTTCCTAAATATCATATTGTTAAAGAACATCTTTTATAAGAAAGAAGTTCCAAATATATATAAAAGTAATTAGAGCTGATTAAAAATTAGAATACATATTATATTACTTTTGCATAAAAATACACATAGGAAAATACTGAAACTACATACATATCCAAATGTCAGCAGTATTTTCTTTTTAAAAGTTCATGGTGTTTCCACTGATTTTCTCTAATTTCTAGATATTCTGCACTGGATATAAAATTACTCTCTTGATTGGGAAAAAATGTTAAGAGCTATAGAAAATTCAAAAGATGAGAGAATATTTGGAAATTGAGTAGTTGAAGCATATCTAAGAAGAAAATGTGATTTGAGCTGAATTTTGATGAACAAGTGAAGGTTGTTCTGAGTGCAGGGAATAGCATAAATGACCCCTGGTAGGAAAAGAGTAGGCTTGTCTGAGGCATGGCACAGAGTCTGTGTTGCTGGGTAAAGAAGTGGTTGGGTGGAGTGAGAGAGAAGTGCAAGATGGGCCTCTAAAAAGCTAGTTTGGAGTCAGGTTGTGGTTAGCCTTCAAAGCCATGTGTAAAGCTGTACTTAGGAGCAGGGGTCAGAGAACACTGACAGCTCATGAGAAGGGGACTCATGTGATCATGGCAGTTTTGAGGAGATTCTCCTGATGGTCACCCGTTATTCAGAAAGATTTTGCACAGTACTTATGAGGTTCCTTTGACTTAATAAGAGTTAGGATAAGGAGCAAGAGATTTAAATGGCATTTCAGAGTTAAAATGACAGAATTTGCTACCTGGCTGGATGTAAAGACATGAAGGGGAAGAGGGCTGAGCTTTAGGAAGGCTGTTTGGGTTTAAGGGTTTGGTGACTGGGAGGGGAGTCAATGGGCAGAGATTAACATCAGCCCACTAGTTAAAATCTCACATTAGTGCTCTCACTTGAGGATGTGAATGCACCAAGTTTAGTGCACGAGTATGCAGAGAGAAAACATAAACCTAAGGATAGAGCTCTGGGGAATTTCCTCTTTTCAGGGGCAAGGGAAGGAAGATGAGCCCTTGAGAAAGGAGAGAGAATGCTCAAACAGAACCAAGATGTTTAGTTTCACAGGAGAAAAGAAAGGAGACTGTTTCAAAAGGCAAATGAAGGGCAGCAAGGCCAAGATGTTCTGCGGGGATTGGGAGAAAGTGTTGAGGTTTTCAGCTTCATTCCCTCTTCATTTGCCCCACTCCCAGCCTTTGAAGCCAGGGCTTCCTGGGGCAACTATAACATTTACCTCCAAAATTTTCCCTTACAAAAATGAACATGGTAGAGGAGAGAAAGCATGCAGCAAGAAAGCCTGGTGTGAGGTCTACTTCACTGAATAACATTAGGTTTTAAACCCAGAGGGACCTTCAGTCATTTAGTTCAACCTTCTCATTTAATAGACAAACAAGTGAAACTACCACCATTTATATGACTTGCTCATGGTCCCAAAATCTCAGGACCTTGGATCCTACCTTTGTGCTTGCTGAGTTGGCATCTCCAATAATAGCAACCTTTGCTGGTAACTTGAAAACTACCGGAAATGCCACTGAGTCTATGAAGTGGAATCCTGAGTCATTCTCATTTTAAGATTTTTATTTAAATCTAAGGTTTTATTTTTCCTTGAAGCAGGCTTATCCTTAGTAAAGCCCATTCCTTTGTCCATCATGATTAGTAGCAGAGTTTTATTCTGTTTTGATTTGTTTTGCTTGTTTTACAATTCACAGGTAAAATGAACATGGGAAATATTTTTTTCTTAAAAAACACAACAGCTGGCCAGTCGCAGTGGCTCACGTCTGTAATCCCAGCACTTTGAGAGGCCAAGGTGGGTGGATCACGAGGTCAGGAGTTCAAGACCAGCCTGGCCAAAATGGTGAAACCCTACCTCTACTAAAAATACAAAAATTAGCTGGGCATGGTGGCAGGTGTCTGTAATCCCAGCTAATTGGGAGGCTGCGGCAGGAGAATCACTTGAACTTGGGCGGCAGAGGTTGCAGTGCACTGCACTGCAGCCTGGGCAATGAGTGAGGCTCCCTCAAAAAAAAAAAAAAAAAAAAAAGAACCACAAAGACTTGGAACCAACCCAAATGTCCATCAATGATAGACTGGATTAAGAAAATGTGGCACATATACACCATGGAATACTATGCAGCCATAAAAAAGGATGAGTTCATGTTCTTTGTAGGGACATGGATGAAGCTGGAAACCATCATTCTCAGCAAACTACCACAAGAACAAAAAACCAAACACTGCATATTCTCACTCACAGGTGGGACTTGAACAATGAGAACACTTGGACACAGGAAGAGGAACATCACACATTGGGGCCTGTTGTGGGGTGGGGGAAGCGGGGAGGGAAAGCATTAGGAGATATACGTAATGTAAATGACGAGTTAATGGGTGCAGCACACCAACATGGCACAAGTATACATATGTAACAAACCTGCACATTGTGCACATGTACCCTAGAACTTAAGGTATTAAAAAAAAAAAAGCCAAGTAGACAACAAGAGCACAGCAAAGGAGAAAATGAGTTACAGTGTTGAGTACATAACAGAACCATTATCTGAAGTAAAAATATCAAAACTGCAAGAAGTGAAAGATAAAAGAAAATAGGTGAAAAGAGTGTCCTTCAGGCTCCAGGTCTCCTAGTGCTCCATGCAGAGAAAGATACAAGGAGCTGGGACTGGTTGAGAAGATCACATGGTCATAGTCTCCCCAGCAGTCAGCAGGTGGGGCCCAGTGCCTGGGCAGTGGAGATGCTCTCTCAAGGGAAGGGTTGGATGGAAGTTAGAAGCAGCCTCCATGTGAGTCAGAGGAAAAAAGTAGTGTGTAAATGGTCATTCTTACGCAATAGACCAAGACATAATTAACTTGAAAAATAACTCTATTGTGAAAAGCAAGGAGAGTTATGGGTTATGGACTGAACTATTGTATCCTTCTCAAGATTCACATATTGAAGCCCTAACTCTCAGTGTGACTATAGTTGGAGATGGGGTCTCTAAGGAAGTAATTAAGATTAAATGAGGTCATAAGGGTAGGGCCCTGATTCAATAGGATTAGCGTCCTTGTAAGAAGAGACACCAGAGAACTCACTTGCTCTCTCTCCTTGCACAAAGAATACCACGTGAGCACACAGTGAGAAGGCAGCCATCTTGGACCCAAGGGAAAAGCACCCACCAGATACCAGCCCTGATGGCATCTTGATCTTGGACTTCCAGTCTCCCAAACTGGATGCAAATAAATTTCTGTTGTTTGAGCCAACCAGTGTAGTATTTTGTTATGGCAGCTCAAGCAAATACATTATTTATTAATAAATGCCTTGTTAGTAATGTGGCATCATAGCTAAGAATACAAGCATTAAAGTCAGACAGCCTAAGTAAAAATTCCTTCACCACCACACTCAAGCCTGGTGACCTTGGGCAAATATTCAACATTGAAATTCCTCAGTCCCCTTATCTACAATGGGAAATGATAAAATAACCTATCTCATTAGCTAATGTGAGGATGAAATAAAATCATGTATGTAAAGTGTCTGGTACATACTAAGTACTCAATGAATATTAATTTAAAATAATAAAAGAATAAGATTATTTCACCAACCATAATTATAAATAAAATTAACCACCCTGGGCTCTAAAATGGTTACAATGTAACTCAACAATTTTAGGTTTTATCTCATTTAGATAAGAAAAAATCTGAATTTTTAAAATAATTTCTAGTAATAGTATAAAAGGCTCAGAAATTGAAGTTCTAAAGACACTGAATGTAACACTTGCATCATGTTGGAGAGTCATGGAGTAGGTTTCAGAATCCCTTTTGCCTGCCCTTACTTCGGTGAATTCTAATCCTATCACACCTTGAGTCAGGCTTCATAATGTAGTCATACCACACAACTCTTAGATCTGCTCCTGTTCTCACTATTATTCAATGCCATTTCAATATTTCCTCATCTCTTTTATGTAATTACTTAAGTAACTAAGACTTCGTAACTTGTGGTCATTTAAAACTATAACTCATTTTTAGTAAATGTCTTCTTCTAATCTTCAGCTTTAAAAAATAATTTAAATCTGGTTGCTTTTGCACAACTGTCCTTCTGGTTTCCTGGAACTTTCATAAATGAAATGCACGTTAAAAAGCATTCACTGATATTAACACCCTTTCTTTCCACATGTCTAATTCAAAGTAGACTTTCCTATGAAGCTAATGAAGATTCAGACCCCTCAGTTACATTGTGCCCTTTCCAAGGATCTGGCAGAGGCCCTGGGAATTTAGTATTCATAGTTCTGTATTATATTTCTTAAGAGGGTCCTCCAAATTATATACCATCCTCACCTTGCTGTTGCTATATCCTCTGAACTTTCAAAATATTTCATATTTAAAGTAGTACTTGAAATTTAATAGGAATTCCAGTTGAAAGAAAACTAGGCTATGGAAAGTAGTCTGTAAAAAAATACCTCTGCAGGCCGTGCGTGGTGGCTCACACCTGTAATCCCAGCACTTTGGGAGGCCGAGGAGGGCAGATCACCTGAGGTCAGGAGTTCGAGACCAGCCTAACCAATATGATGAAACCCTGTGTCTACTAAAAATACAAAAATTAGCTAGGCATGCTGGCATGCGTCTGTAATCCCAGCTACTCAGGAGACTGAGATAGGAAAATCGTTTGAACCCAGGAGGCAGAGGTTGCAGTGAGCCGAGATCATGACATTGCACTCCAGTCTGGGCAACAAGAGTGAAACTCCACCTCAAAAACAAAACAAAACAAAAAACAAAAAAACTTCTGCATATACCTCTTAGCCTCCAAACTGAACAAAATGGGTATTTCGTTATGTACTCATAGGTTCCAACTTTTATTTTAGCACCAGAGGTCTTTTGTCACATGCAATCTTATCAAGTAGAACTTCTCTATCCAAAGAAAGTCAAGGGGAGCTCTACTCACTCACTACCCCTTCAACCCTAACTGCTTAAGCACGTATAGAGAGCCTGATTGGTCCTGTCCTCACAGCACAGTTTGTAATGTCCTCACAGACAGTAATACACAGTGGGTGTATAACCAGAGACAGAGAAGGAAAGCCTCACATGATTTTGTAGTGTAGGTAAGACTATAAGATATTCATCACCATAAGATAACCAGCCATTTTCCTGATGGGTGGAATATATTCTGCCTAGAATCATGGGGAAACTGTGCAAGACAATTTTTGAGGCTCTTTCTCACCAGTTGATTCTCAGGTCTCTCAGGAGAAGATAGGAATGACTACTCTCAGAAACAGTTACATTCTAAATATCAGCGATTACTGTTGTCTGATACTAATATTGGAAATATATGGAAAAACAGCTCAAGATTGGGCAGATGAATTCTTTTACTTTATATGGGACTCCAAAAACCTATGCCGTTTAAAAGGACTTGAATACAAAGATATGCAAAATGCTCAAAGAAAACACCTTAAGTTTACATATCACCACGTCTTTCTTCTAACTACGCTTTGAATTTCGCACCCTTGAATTCCAAATGTTTGCAAACATTTGCTGACCCAACTGAACTACGTTTCAATCTACTTGGCTCCAGCTTTTGTAAACATTCAATGAACTTGATTTTCTTTAGGAAATATGCTACATTATTCACATTGTCCCCTTTTTTCTATATGGAATACAAAACATCAATTCTTTAATCATGTTATTTGTTAAGACATTTAATTTTTCTTTGGTAAGCTTAATCTTCAATCATTCCTTTATTCATTCGGTATAAATTTACTTGGTGTCTATCTTCCAGATTCTGTGTAAAAAAAAAACAAAACAAAAAACTAGGGGTACGGAAAGAAATAAGATTAGAACTTGTCTTAAAAAGAACAAGGTCATAGAAGCCAGTGACCACGCTTGTTGACTCATCTCTGGAATCTCCAAATGTAACTTGGCATTTAATAAATGTATTTTATTGCCATGGTATTATCAACTAGGCAAGAGGCATGAACATTCCATTTTGGTGGAAATTTATTTACATGAGTGCCCACAAATAGGTTCTGTATTTAATTCTCTATTTCTTTTATATATATGTTTTTAAACTAATACCTAAGGTAAATTATTTCCCCCTACAGATTAAATTCCTATCACTAATACATATGCTTGTAATCATAAGCTTATTTGGAAATGAGACACACTGTTCTACACAGTTGCCGCCCCCCGCCCCCAATATCTGTGGGTTCTGCATTGGTGGATTCAACCAACCACAAATAGAAGATATTCTAAATAAAATTGTGTCTATACTGAATGTGTACAGACTTTTTTCTTGTCATTATTCTCTGAACAATAGAGTACAACAACTATTTACATAGCATTTACATTATATTAGGTATTATAAGTAATCTAGAGATGAGTTTATGTATACAGGAGAATGTAAGTTAAGTTATATGCAAATACTACACCATTTTATATCAGGCAGCACTTGAGTGAGTATCTTCAGATTTTGGTATCTGAGGGAGGTCCTGGAACCAATCCTCCACAGATACCGATAGAGGACTGTACTCTATAAATTCTTACCTAGAGAATCAAAATCCTATAGTTAATTAGGAAAAGCTGTATGCTTTATCAATTAGTCCTTATTGCTTCCAGCCAAGCCAAGAAATCAGCAATTTAGTAAAATCATTTATAAAAAAGAACTAGGAATAATTTATTTGGGGGATCTTACACTACTACGAATCACTCAGACAACAGTGGGGCCACAGATCCTGAACTTCTGTTCTCATTGGTTTCCTTCTCCCTCACCAACATTCCCATCAACAATTATACCTCTAAAAGAGGCTGGTAATCACAGCCTCTAATCCATTAGCACCTCACTCTTAACCTTTCCTTTATTTAAAACATTCTTGAGTTCAAGGACATTTTTAGCAAGCAGGGCCCATAAGTCATCTCTTACTAGCTTCTCTGCTACGCTGGATGGAAAGGAAACAGAAGTAGAGGAGCATTATCCATCTATTTTGAAAACGCCTGGTCTGGGGAGAATGCCCGCTGTCTATTTATTTTACATGATGGCCCCCACTCCTATTTTCATCAACCTACACTTCATATACTTCATGATATACCCGAGTGCAGCTTGTCATGGTTACCAGTGACTGTTATTATTAAATATACAAAATCATTTTACTAGATGATAAAGGAAGCTACACTGTCTAAAAATTTCATATATCTAACGTGTTGTATAAACAGCCTAAATCCCTATACATTTTATAACTTCAGCAGTCTAAAGGTTAAAGCCTGTCAGTTGAATTTCACAAATTCCAGGAAGAAATGGGGAAGTAGCACCAACTCTTCATTGTATACCAGTGATCAAACATCTCCTCATTACACTTCAATATTGTTGCCTCTAAAGGTCACCATTGCTGAACATAATCACACAAAATCAAAGCTGCAAACTTTATATATCATGGAGGCAGTAAATAGCTTGGAGGTTTATTTTCTGGTGCCTGAACAACAATCTGAACCCATGTATAAATTCCTGGGAACTGTCGCATGAACCAAACACATTTGCAGTGCCTAACAATAGCTTCAATTAAATAAGTTTCCTGTAAAAATATTTTTTTCTGTCATTTCAGGTGAAAAATACAACTCCCTACCCACAAAGTAGTATAAGTCTTTTTAATTTGTCTGTTTTAAATGAAATTACCTTCTCTTATCTTCCTGTAAAAACATGTTTGATAATGATTTGTAAATAACCTTCCAAATGGAATATCCAAAAGTTTACCTCAAAGGGAAGTCATGAAGTTCATTTAGTAAAGCACTAATATGTCCAGTAATCACATATGCTCCTTGCTTTTTTCATTCATTGATTTCACTGCACGTTATTTGGACAACCTGTCACTTTGTAAGATCTATGGACTCAAAGTAGAAGCCTAGCCTCATTAAAGCCACCATCGGTTCTAACTATGTCCATGCTTGGTCCTTGCATTTATTCTCTGTTCAACAGTCAATATTTTCTTTTGACCATACAGCTTATATCATTTCATTTCCACAGACAAGCCTAAAACTCTCCAGTGGCTTCTGATTATACTTAAATTCAAACTGCTCACCATGGTCTACAGAGCCTTGCAGAAACTGATCCCTGCATCACTCTGGTCTCAATTCCTACCATTCTTTTTATTTGCTTAATTCCAGCGACACCAAATTCATTTGTGTTGAATGTGCAAGGTCTTTGATGGCTAGAGATTTGCACTCTTATTCATTCCCTTGTGCAGGTGCATCCTGTTCCCAAATCTTGAAATGACTATGTCTCTTTTTTTTTTCTTCCCATCTTCTCTAGAATGCTCTCTTTTCAGGAAAACTGCTTCTCCCCACCAAAACCAATTACTTCTCATTCCTGCAATCTCTTTTTATCCCATCCCCCTACAATATTTCAGTCATGGAACTTATAATCTGAAGTTGTCTTACTCAGACAATTTGTTTACTGGTTTGTTCTCTGTTTTTGCCTTCACTAGCAAAAAGGTCTGCTAGAAGCAGGTATTTAGTCTATCTTTTTCAGCAGCATGTGGTAGAGATGCAATAAAGATATACAAATGCTCCTTAACTTACAGTGGAGTTCATCCTGATAAATCCATAAGTTGAAAATACTGTTACATTGAAAAAGCATTTAATACATCTAACCTACCGAATGTCATAGCTCCATCTTACCTGTCTTAAATGTGCTTAGAACAATTGTATTAGCCTACAGATGGAGAAAATCATCTGGCAACACAGCGCACTGTAGAATATATCTGTTGTTTATCCTTGTGATCATGTGGCAGACTGGAAGTAGCGGCCCACTGCTGCTGCTCAGCATGAGAGAGAGTATCACAGCATACTGTGCTACTCTCTTGGGCATATTGCTAGCCCAAGAAGAGATCAAAATTGCAAATTTGAAATATAGCTTTTAGTAAATGCATATTACTTTCATACTATTATAAAGTCAAAAAAATCTAAGCCAAACCGCTGTAAGTCTGTGACGGTCTGTAGATCATCAAATGAATAAAATTTTAGGATGTTTTCACTGACAGAAATTTATGCCTTTAAAGATAGTTTACCATTTAAATTCAGAAAAAAAATAACATGACAGTTCTATATAAATAGATACAGCATTAGTGCAAAGTACACATTATATTTTGCACTATTATATATATTAATCAATAATTATTATTAATATGGCATGATTAATTCAGTATATCATTTTCTAGAAGGTCTGTGATGTTCACCATGTTATAATGAAAAACAATTTTTAATCAGATTCTTGATTTCTAATGCAGTTTTCACTGAAAATGATAATAATCATGTTTGTCTTCCAGTATATAGCAAACACTATGAAGTATTTTTAAAAATCTTTTCCCTGTATTTAAATCAGAATATCCAATACTGAAGGAGCTGCACTGGTGATAAAATAATGTCTTTTGTTCTGACTTCTTGCCTTGTTAATGAAGAATTTAAGATGGTCAGCTGCTTATTTTCATATTGGAACATTAAGTTGCCTACTTAAGAATTCAAAGGCCGAGCAAGGTGACTCATGCCTGTAATCACAGCACTTTTGGAACCTGAAGCAGAAGGATCACTTGAGCTCAGGAGTTCAAGAACAGCCTGGGCAACATAGCAAGACCTCATCTCTTCTAAAAATCAAAAAAATTAGCCAGGTGTGGTGGCCTGTGCCTGTAGTTTCAGTCACTCAGGTGGCAAAGGCACCAGGATTGCCTGAGCCTAGGAAGTGAAGGCCACCTGATCATGCCTCTGTACTACAGCCTGGGCAACAGGGCAAGACTCTGTTCTAAAAAAAAAAAAAAAAAAAAAAAATCGGAGGAGAGTCAATCCTAAAAAGAAATAAAGAAAACAATCCCATTTACTATAGCATGAAAAAAGATAAAGAACTTAGGAATGAATTTAACCAAAGGAGTATATAAATTACACACTGAAAACTATAAAACACTGCTAAAATAAATTTTAAAAGATACAAGTAAATCTCATGCTCATGGATTGCAAGATTTAATATTATTAAAATGTCTATACTACCCACAGCTACCTAAAATTTCAATGTAATCCCTATAAAAATCCCAATGACAATTTTTGTAAAAATAGAAAAAAAATTCCTAATATTCATATGGATTGTTAAGGGACCCCAAATAACTAAAACAATCTGGAAAAGAAGGAAAATGTGGAGGCCTCACCCTTCCTGATTTCAAAACATACAACAAAGCAACAGTAATCCAGATGATGTAATACTGGCATAAAGTCAAATATCTGGATCAATGGAACAGAATAGAGAGGCCAGAAACAAACCCTTATATATATGGCCAAATGATATTCAACAAGGATGCCAACACTACACAATGGGGAAAGGACAGTGTCTTTGACGAGTAGTATTGGAAAAACTGGATATCCATTTGCAAAATAATTATTTCGGACCCTTAACATTATACACAAAAATTAACTCAAAATGAGTGAAATATAAGCCGAAAAGCTACAAAACTCCTAAAGCAAAACATAGAGAGTCTCAAGACATTGGATGTGACATAATTTTTTGGATATGACACATATGACAAAATCACAGGCAGTAAAAGAAAAAAAAAACAGATAAATGGGACTATATCAAACTAAAAGCTATCAAAGGAAACAATCAGTGAAGAAAAAGAGCAACCTATGGAATGCGAAAAAATATTTGCAAGTCATGTATTTGTTATAGGGTTAATACCCAGAATATATAAGGAACTTCTACAACTCAACCACAAAAAAAACAAATCACCCAATTTAAAAATGGGCTAAGGACGTGAATAGACAATTCTCCAAAGAAGACATGCAAATGGCCAATAAGCCTATAAAAAGATGCTCAGCATCACTAATAATAAGAGAAATGCAAACTAAAATCACAATGAGGTATCACTTCACACCCATTAGAATTGACACTATCAAAGGAACAGAAAATAACAAGTGCCGGTGAAGATGTGGAGAAATTACAACCCTTGTGCACTATTGGTGGGAGTGTAAAATAGTACAGCTATATAGAAATTACAGATTGGAGGTTCCTCAAAAAATTTAAAATAGGATTACCATGTATCCAGCAATCTCAGTTCTGGGTATATATTTTGAATCCAAAAGAATTCAAAGCAGGATCTCAAAGAGATATTTGCACACCCCTCTTCATTGCAGCTTTATTCACGATAGCTAAAAGTGGAAGCAAACCAAATCTCCATCAACAGATACATGGATAAAGAAAATGTGGTATATACACAATGGAGTGTTATGCAGCATTTTAAAAAGGAAATTCTGTCATACGCAACAATATGAATGAACCCTAAGGACATATGCTAAGTGAAATAAACCAGTCACAGAAGGACAAACGCCATGTGATTCCACTTATACCACTTATCTAAAGTAGTCCAAATCATAGAGACCGAAAGTAGAAAGGTGGTTGCCAAGGACTGGGGGAGAAGAAAGGAGAAATTAGTTTAATGGCTATAGAGTTTCAGTTTCACAAGATAAAAAAGTTCTAGAGATCTGTCGCACAACAATGTAAACATACATAACACTACCACCTTGTATACTTTTTTTTTTTTTTTTTTTTTTTTTGAGACGGAGTCTCGCTCTGTCGCCCAGGCTAGAGTGCAGTGGTGCGATCTCAGCTCACCGCAAGCTCCGCCTCCCGGGTTCACGCCATTCTCCTGCCTCAGCTGGGACTACAGGCGCCCACCACCGCGCCCGGCTAATTTTTTTGGTATTGTTAGTAGAGACGGGGTTTCACCGTGTTAGCCAGGATGGTCCCGATCTCCTGACCTCGTGATCCACCCACCTCGGCCTCCCAAAGTGCTGGGATTACAGGCGTAAGCCACCGCGCCCGGCCCACCTTGTACACTTTAAAATTGTTAAAATGATAAAATTTATGTTATATGGTTTTTACCACAATAAAAATAATAATGATTCAAGGAAAAGCTTTCTAGCTTTATTTCCTGCAGCTTACCGCAGAAATAAGCATACTTCATGAAGTAATTGCTTCTGGTCAGTTTTCTGCACTCTTCTTTTTGAATGAAAAGTTTGAAAAAATTAGTGACCAGGAGTCACTAAAAAGAATTTTCATCAAGGAACACTGTCAAATAAAAATTACAAGGGAACAGAAATAAAAATAAAAGATAAGATTGTTTTCCACATTAAGATGCTACTTCCCACAGTCATATCCACTGGCTTATCTGTAACTTTAATATACGTAAGTTATGCTGTGTACACAGCATGTTAATGAAAGAAATGAGTGATTAGCAAGTTGAAGTAAAAACAGCTTATGACCAAAATTATTCAGATATTTCTTTCCATTTTTATTTCAAAGAACATGTTCTCATTTATTCCACTCATTTATGGTTTATTTCCAACTACCTTCAAAAGAGACTTCAGAAAAGTCTAATCGAGGGATATCAACTAATAAACTTCTGAATAAAATATGTAAAACCATTGTCCTCTCTATTCTTTTGATTATAACATTAGATTCAGTTATCACTTAAGGGAGGTCTAAAAAACTTATCTGAGTACAGACTGGTTTTCATTTTACAGTTCTGTGTGTGTGTGTGTGTGTTATGTGTATGCATGTGTGTATCGGTTATTGTTGTTTAATACTTTATTGGATATAGGTCTACACCTGTGTATGGATTACTCCAGTTCAAAGAACTTTGTTTCCCTTGATTTTTCATCCTTTATTCACTTCACATAGTCAACAGTGATTCAGGTCCAATCTCCCTATGAGACAGGAATTTCTTCAGAGCAGTGGGACTGGCACATTTCTCACATACAGCTTCTTGTGTCTCTGTTACATCCAGGACACATGCAGTTTGCAGCTTCATGGGCAGACAAGTCTCTCAATGTAGGTGTATAAGCGAATTCTAAATAGAGGCAGATGGCGGGTTTCTTATAACTTTTGACTTCTTCATGCACTGATTCTGTTCAACCTAATGACTTAATCTGAACATTACATTTCCCACTGCTGCTGAACATTATTTCATGGAGTTATGTAGTTTTATGTTTCTTCTCTTATTTATGTTTGTTTGGGGAATTTGTGAAATGCTTTTTGATCTGCAATGAGATTAGGGTTTTTTATATTGCAAAATAATGGGACTACATGCTGCATGAACTACCTTATCTTTTGTTCATTTTGCCCATTTTATTATACTCATTGTAGCCAATAAATATGTCAACATGCTCTCATGTGAAACCTGTCAGATCTGTGAGGCATGACTTCCCATCATTGGATAGAAATCTAAAACCAAATTTATCCCTGACAAGAAATGAATGATAGGCTAAAGTATTTAAAATAAACTAGAAAATGGTAGCAACAATTTTCTTAAATGGACATATTTAAACAAAGAACACATTCTTTTCTACTTTGGAATTATTAAGAAGTTTCAATCTAAAAAGAAATATTCAAAGTAAGTACTACAAGCTGCAGGTGAAATGGCTGCTGTCATAATCTCCTAGAGTTTAAGGCCTATTACCTCAATCTTATGATCTTTTTAAATCACTACAAAGCAATGACAAAACAACGTCAGTGATCTCTCTAAAGCTGCACTATCCAATACAGAAACCACCAGCTATTTAAATTGAAATTGAATTAAAATTAAAATTAAATTAGAATCACATTAGCTATATTTCAAGTGCTCAGCATGTGGCTAGTGGCTACCATATTGGATATTTCCTTCATCTCAGAAAGCTCAATTGGATAGAACTGCTCAAAATCATTATGTATACACATTTGCCATCATTTTTAGTGTTGGAAAATGTGCTCCACAGTGAAATTGCTAAATGCCACTTGTCTCAACCTGCACCTGCACAATTTTACAAAGAATTTTAAGAAATCTCTAATTTGAGGTAAATAACTAGTGAGAGGCTGCCTGGTGAAACATAAGAGCCACTTTCGTGGTTTAAGGATCCCAAAATATCCTTTAGAAAAGATCTAACAATCCCTTTTAGACAATTGTTAGGTACTCTAGTCTTTGTTTTTGTGAATTTCAATGAATTTTAGGAGTAGGCAGTAGACTTGTTTCCCTATTAAATGTTTAGGACTTTAAGTATTAATAAAACCTAGTAGTAAGGAATTAAAACATCATTCTCTGTTCAATTACTACCATATCTTAATAATTTGAGTGTTAGCTCCTTTTCTCAACCAGAAAACCACCCCTTAAGCAATAATTCACCACCTTAATTAAAGACAGAAATGCTTTCTTTTATAGAAAGAGTAAGTGGAATTTTATCAGTCCAAAATAAAATGGTGGAGGTATTGGTGATTAGGAAAGGGAATATTTTAATGCAAGGACAATGAGAGATAAAAAGAGAAATAAGATTTTCTAACTGTGTGGGTAAAGCTGGTGGACATCACTCAAAGGAAATTATTTCTCCCAAGGCAAATTTACAGCCCCAGTCCCCACCCCAGGGCTACTCTTCCTTCTACTCTAGGACTCACACGGCAACACACATATAAACTGTAGGTAGTTGGATTATTATCTCCCAGTCACTGTTCAGCCAGACACTTAAGTACAAATAGAAACCATGAATAGTGGCTTATACTGTCTGCCTCAGGGTACATGTCCTGTCAAAGATTAGAGGAAGGCTCTACTCAAGACCATCCCACACAGTAATACAGGTTGGGCCGTGCACACACTTTTAAAGCAACTCTAGCTCTCCAGTTCTGCTTGCCTGGGAACATACCCAACAATGGTTCCTAAGTGGAAACTGACATTTAAGGAATCTAAGTTTAAAGATGAGATAATTTTGAGCTTGACTTGGATAGTTCGTTATATTTGTGTTTTTTCAAAGACCTATTTGTATGAATATTTTCACTGCTGGTAAAAACCTTTACCATTGGTTAGCAATTTAACTTTATAGGAAGTCTGTGAGGTGCGGTAGAATCACACATATTTGCATCAAAATCTCAATCAATTCCTGCTACTTACGGATTCAATAATCTTGAGTAAATATCTTAACCCATCTGAAACTCAACATCTTCCTCTAGAAAGGTGAGCTCTTTGGCTTCAAAAGAGTTCTATGAGTAGTGTGAAACTATACATGTTGAAAATGCAGTATGTATAATTTGTACTAAAAACAAGTTAATTTTCTCAGTTATTTGCACAATGCTCTAAAATTGCTTATATTCCTTCTTCCTTCAAGCACTATTATTTTTGATTACCTACCATAAATATAGCACTTGCTAAGTTATTTACTCATAATAATATTAGATTATCTTATTGTACACATTTTCAGATGAGGAACCTGAGGCAGATTGGGGGATAAGTAATGTACCTACACAGAGGTTGTTCAAAACAGAGCTGTATGTGTTGAAATCAAGAATTTGAACTCGAGTTTCTGATTCCAAAGCTATGGCTTATGCAGCTTCTCAGTACAAGGAAATTTGATATTTAGTTTAGCAGATGTGTAGGCAAAATCCTAAGAAAGGGATCACTTGTCCCAAGTAAGGTAGAAACTGTCTTGCAAATTACCATTCACTTCTGACTTGTCAAATGGAACCTCTCTTTGAAGCCATGGAGTATGTCTAATTGTCTAATTCATACCTATTTCTCCATCAGCTAGCTCAGTGCCTAGTTGGCTCTTATTAAATGTCTCTTTTTTTCCTTTTCTTTGGAGACAGAGTCTCACTCTGTCACCCAGACTGGAGTACAGTGGTGCAGTCATAGCTCACTGTAGCCTCAATCTTCTGGGCTCAAGTGATCTTCCCACTTTGGCCTCCCAAAGTGCTGGGATTACAGGTATGCGCTACCGTGCCCAGCCCAGATTTTCTTAAATTGACATAAAACATTTTCCACTACTTCTTTAGGGATAATTACTGAAACACATGGATATCTATAGTGTCTCATTTTTCTAAAATATGAACATTTCTTCGGGGATTGTTTTAAAAATTAAATGTTAAATAATGAAGAATATGCATAAACACACATAAACCCACATGCACGTGTGTATATTTCCATCATATGGTCATATGTTTTAATTCTATAACAAGTATTAAAAGAAATAGAATAATTTCTATTTTGCTTAGCAGCAAACTAATTTTTAAAAATTGCTTTTGAAATTTCAGTTTCTGATTTGTTTCCATATAAGGATTTCCCCCTCTTATTTCCTGAAAGAGTATTGAGTTTGTAGTAAATCAACAACAAAATTAAAATTTGGCCACCACCTGCCAGAATTCTCACTCTGCAACATGAAGACTCAAAGGAGATGAAAAATTCAAGGTTAATAAGATTATCACCATCTCTTTTTTTTTTGTATACATGTATCTAAATCTGTGCCTCCCAGCCTTTCTTCACTGAGCAGAAGATTATAATCATTACTAAAGTCTCAGGTTTTTGCTTCTCTGCACAAAAATGAAATCAGTGGTGTGTAGCTGAATGCATTCCAGATAGCAATAGCATATCATTAGCATATCAGTGACAGCATCAAAAAAAATACATGAAAACAAAAACATTGCATACAAATGGAGATGTGTAAGAGTTTTCTACAAAAGAGAAACTATTTTCCTTGTTGCTTTTTGAATGGGTCTTTAAATTATAGTTAGGACAGGGCCAAAGCTCTCAAAACCGGGACATCTTAGGAAATAAAATAGGAGACTAGCAACTGAGAAATCTAGATACCATACTGTTAAGTCACCCTGTGTTCCAGAGCATATATTCTTCCGGTGCTCCAAACTTTATCACCTATCTGACCAAGGCTAAAATTTGTATTTATAAAGCATTAAGTAAGGGACTCCCAGTGAAACCTGCAGAGTTTGCCTTATAAAAATGCACATGGGTACAGCCCAACCTATAAGGTTTTTTTTCCTAACTATTTTACTTTCTATTTCCCAATAAATTAAGATACAAGAAAATTATTATTCTTGTATATACCAGATATATTAGTATAGACTAATACTGAAACTAACAGCATATATATGTATATTCCACTATTCTACGAAATGTACATATATATATATTCTATTATGTGTCTATTCATACATGCATATTCTACTAGAATATATATATTCTAGTAGAATATGTACATGTATACATGGAGAGAAAGACACAGAGATGGACTCAAACACAATAAAATTTGTTTCTCACTCTCTAATAGTTTGAGACAGACGTCTTCTTTATCAGCAGGGAGTTGTCTTTTACATGGTGATTCAGTTGATAATCTTTCCATCTTGTGGCTCCCTGCTCTCCTAGATATCTTATCATCATCTCCATTCACTAGGCAGAAGGGGAGAGAGTGAGGAGGAGCCCATATAGGAAGTTTTGTGGGCCTTGCCTGGAGCTATCACTCACAGTTCATTGGTTAGAATGAAGTCACACGCCCATACCTAACTGCAAGACAGGCTTAGAAATGTAGTCTAGCTCTGGGTCCAGGAAAAAGAGGAAACATGTATTGGTGAACAGCCAGCAATATCTACCATATCGAAATTTTCTGTATCTTGCCTGGCATAAATTATTGTAATTCTCTTCTAGCATTTTCTTAAGCATAGGAAGTCACACTTTCTAAATCAAAGACACTCCACTGAGAAATAAAATGTGACTCATGCTATTTACTACTCCCTTAGAACCATACCAAGCCATTCTGTCCTGCTGTGGTTTGATCTCTATACTACTTTCCTTATTTGAATTCTGAATGCTGTATTATCAGTTTGGGCTTTTGTTTGTGTGTGTTTTCTTACTAGATCAAAAGATTAAAAAGATAATTATGATTTCATTCATAAGCTATAGGAATTTAAACATCTTACTTTATACAGGATTTCTTTCAGAAATAATATCAAAAAAGAAATTGGAATCTGTTTTTGAAAAATGCAAGACTTATCTGTCTGTACTTCTGACAAATAAACAAGGACTAAGAAAATATTGATCGTGTCATATGAAAGCCATAAAAGAAAACGTCTCTCTCCAAGTGGCTTACATAGTTTATGACAAACCTTTAACCCGAAACTAAATACATCTCTAAAAATTAGCAGCATTTTCTAGGTGTGAGCGTGACCCATTTTAATCAGCACACAGAAGAAATTTTTATGAAGTCAGAATGTTTTTATGCTAGTACATTTCCCTTTAGCTAATTAGACTTTATTTCTGAACCTATGACGCGTGCTCTAAAAATTCTAAACTATTCATAAAATATATTTGAAGAACAGATTGAGGTTTCATTATTTATAACTCAGTCAAGATACCAAACTGGCTAGATTGTAAACCTGCTGATACAGTAGCTTTTCTTCACCACTCTTTGAGTTGTTGCTACTCAAGTTTCTAATTTATGTGCAAATTGAATTTGCCTAATGCATATAGTAAGCTCTTTTTTCTTTCTACTTTTTTAGCAGTTTCCCATGCACTGTGATTTAAAGTGCTTTTTTTTTGCGTCTTATGAAAAGATGAGTATACCAAATAGATTTATTTATTTTCATTGTTTTTCATGTTACTCCTCATACACCTCACCCAGAGACTAAAGCGATTTTCTATCATGAATTAAATATTCATCACGAAGCAGTCTCCTATGCCCTGCCCAGATTTAACTCAACTCGAGTCAAATGCAGAACTGCTGCTATAGCATGTGTTGACAGCATGGAAATAAAGACTTCAGGATTCTGTTTTCAATATTAGTTCTAGCCTTCTCAGTCTGATGACTTGCTACTTTCGTCCATGCACATTCTTTGAAAGGAATACAAAATTCCCTTAGGGTGGATTCACCTAATTTATTGCACCTTTGCTTTAGTAGGCACTATCTAAGAAACTGGAAATCAAAGACAAATAAAATGGTCATTGTCCTAGGGGAGTACACAGTCCAGCAGATAAGATGGTCATGTAAACAAATCACCCTTATACCAATAATTATTAGCCTTTCAGGGTTCTAGGAATACTTTCAAATGCCAAAGACATTGGCTGGATATTTACGAAGAGTAAAAGCCTCAAAACATATCAGAAATAATTTCCAACATGTCACTCCTAGTGAATAACAATTTTTGCAGGACTCTAGGCAAATTTTAATTCTCTCTCTATTTGCTTGGTAACTATAGCATTCTGTTGCTGTTTCAATAGACTGCCCCGACCATATTCTTTTACATATTCACTAGAAAATGTTAGCAGACATTCTAGTAAACATGGAAGTCTTTTACGAGCCTGGGCCACCTACCTACAAGAAAAAAAAATGTGTCTTGAATGGTGATGAACACAACAAACACATTTTTATTATGTTTGGGTCATTGTAAATCTGAGATCTGCTTGTTATCACTGTCTAACCTACTCTAACTAATCCAACATACATAACCTCTTATTCCTACGTTTTTGCTATTTTATTTACCCTTGCTCAAGCAAGCACTAAGGGATCATAAGAAAGAAGCTAAATAACATTCACAAAACAAGTCTTCTCTATCTGAGCATTAACATCCTTCTTCCTCAAAAAGCCAGCTACATACTTCTCCTTTACACCTTCTGGACAATAACCTCTTCATCAATAATCTTAATCACTTGAAGTCCCTGACCCTCTATAAATTGTTAGCCACTGTCCATTGATCAGTGTAGATTCATACTTCTCATCTGATATGTTACTCCAGAATAAAGGAGACAACTAGAAGTACTGCTTCTAATTCCGGACTTGAGATATTCACTAGGCCTAATTTCCCTTCCCCACTACCCTGTGTCGGGGTGTAATGTAGTCACAGTCTGCTTCTGAACAATGCTATCTTTAAACAAGGCTAAATTTTTTTATTCCTTCTTGTGAACTTTTTGTAGAAAACCACCTATGAGCAATTAATAATCCAAACAGTAAATTAAGAAAATAATTCAATTTACAATAGCATGTCCCTCAGCCAAAAACAACAAAAACACTTAGGAATTAATATAACTGAGGAGGCAAAAGATTTGTATAGTAAAAAATACAAAATGTTGCTTAAATATATTAGAGAAGACACTAATAAATTGTAAAAAAAAATCCTGTGATTAATAAGTTGGAAGAGTTGATATTGTTAAGATGTTAATACTCCCAAAGGCAATCTACACATTGAATGTAATCCCTATAGATCATCCAATGAATTTTTGCAGAAATAAAAAATGCATTCTAAAATTCATATCAAATTCCAAGGGACCACATATAGCCAAATCAATCTTGTAAAAGAACAAAGTTGAAAGTTGTGTCTTTATTTCAAAGTTACAGTAATCAAAATAGTGTGATACTGGCATAAAGGTAGACATAGAGGAATATTGTTGTTCATAGACTATTATTCATAATAGTCAAAAAGTGGAAGCAACCCAAGTTCCCATTGGTGGATAAATGAATAAACAAACTGTGGTATATACATACAATGGAATATTATTCAACCTTAAAACAGAATGAAATTCAGATACATGCTACAATGTGGGTTAAATTTGAAGACATTATGCTAAGTGAATAAGCCTGAGTCATAAAAGGACAAATACTGTATAATTCCACATATATGAGGTGAATAGAACAGTCAAATTCAGAGACAGAAGGTAAAATGATGGTTGCCAAAAGCTCGGAGGAGAAGGCAATGGCGAACTATTGTTAAATGGGTGTAGAGTTTCAATTTGGGAAGATGAAAAAAGTTTTTGAGATGGAAGATAGGGATCGTTTTACAAAATGTGAATATATTTAACATTACTGAACTGTGCACTTAAAAATGTTTAAGATAGTCAATTTTATGTGTTTTTTTACCACAACTAAAAATTAAAAAGAGGGCCAGGTGCAGTGGCTTTTGCCTGTAATCCCAGCACTTTGGGAAGCCGAGGTGGGAGGACTGCTTGAGCCCAGGAGTTCAAGACCAGCCTAGGCAACATAGTGAGACCTCTTCTCTACAAAAAATTTAAAAATTAGCTGGGCATGGTAGCACACACCTATGGTCCCAGCTATTTGGGGGCTGATGCAGGAGGCTCTCTTGAGTCCTGGAGTTCAAGGCTGCAGTGAGGCATGATTGCACCACTGCACTTTAGCCTGGGCAACAGGGTGAGATCTTATCTCTACATAAATAAATAAAAGAGTTAGAATGGTAAATTTATTTCATGTATATTTTACCACAATTTAATAAATAAATATTATGGATAAGTCTATGCCCACAAGTTTGATAAGTTAGATGAAATGGACAGATTTCATTTTTTTTTTAATTGTAGAGACAGGGTCTCACTATGTTGCCCAAGCTGGTCTTAAACTTCTAGCCTCAAGCATTCCATCTGCCTTGGTCTCCCAAATCACTGAAATTACAGGCATGAGCCACCATGCCTGGCTGACAAATTTCTTGAAAAACACAATCTACCAAAACTCACACAAAGATACACATAGGCCTATTCAAGTTATCAGTTTATTTAAAAACTTGAATCAGTAATTAACAGAAAGCACCAGCCCAGGTGGTTTCACTGTTAAGTTCTACCAAACATTTAAAGAAATAATACCAATACTCTGTAATCTCTTCCAGAAAACAGAAGCAGAAGAAACACTTCCTGACTCATTTTATGAGGTCAGCCTTACACTAATGTCAAAAATTGGCAAAGACAATACAAGAAAGGAAAATTACAGACTAAAGTTTCTCATGAACATATACAAATATATATTTGTATATATATATTTCACACACTATATACATATTATATAATTATATTTTATATACATATGTATAAAACAGACAGAAACCAGCAATGTTTAAAATGAATTATACAACACATCCAGTTGTGACTTATTCCAGGTATGCAATGCTAGTTCAACATTTCAAAAATTAATTAAATGTAATCCATCACACCAACAGGCTAACAAAAAATCATACGATCATATCAATAGACGAAGAAAAAAAACATTCGAGAGAGTCATGACCTATTCATGTGAAAATATCCCAACAAACAGGAGATAGAAGGGAACTTCCTCAACTTGATTAAAAAAATCTATAAAACACCCATAGCTGACATCATATTTAATTGTGAAAAACTACAAGTTTGGCCCTAAGATCAGAATGAAGACAAGGATTTCCCTTCTCACCACCCCTACTCAACATCATACTAGAAGTCCTTGCTAATGCAATAAGACAAGACAATAAAATAAAAGGTACAAAGTTTGGGATGTGAAGTTGGCAAAATTGTCTACATAGAAAACCCCAAAAACTGGACCAAAAAACTCTTGAAACAAATAAGCAATTGTTGTAAGGTTTCAGGGCATGATGTTAATAATACACGAGTCACTTACTTTCCTATATATCATTAATGAGCAATGGGAATTAAAATTAAAGCACAACATTTACATTAGCAACACCAAAAATGAAATACTTGGGTATAAATCTCATAAAATATGTGCCAGGTCATACAGAAAAAAACTACAAACTCTAATTAAAGAATTCAAATATCTATGGCTGAACACTGTGGCTCACATCTGTAATCCCTGCATTTTAGGAGGCTGAGGCAGGAGGATCACTTAAGGCTAGGAGTTCAAAACTAGCCTGGGCAACATAGCAAGATCTCAATCTCTACACAAAATTTCAACATTATCCAGGCATGGAGATGCACGCCTGTAATCCTAGCTGCTGGGGAGGCTGAGGTGGGATGATCACTTAAGCCCAGGAGTTTGAGGTTGCAGTAAGCTATGATTGCACCAATGCACTCCAGCCTGGGCAAAAGAGCAAGACCTTGTCTCTAAAAAAATTTTTGGAAAAAACAAAGAACCAAAGATCTGATCAATTGAGAGATAGTCCATGTTCATAGATAGAAAGATTCAGATTTATTAAATGTCAGTTATTCACAATTTGAACTATAGATTCAAAGCCATCCCAACCAAAATCCCAGACAGTTATTTTGTGTACATTGACAAATTGATTCTAGAGTTCCTATCAAAAGATGAAAGAGCTAGAATTGCTAATATAATAATGAAGAAGAAAAAGTCAGAGAGTTGACACTAACCAACTTCAAGACTTACTACAGAGCTACAGTGAATAAGACAGTGTGGTACTGGTAGAAGAACAGACAAATAGATCAATTGACCAATTGGTCAACAGAGCAATGGAACAGAATAAAGAACCCAGAAATAGGGCCGGGTCTAGTGGCTCAAGCCTGTAATCCCAGCATTTTGAGAGGCAAAGGCAGGCAGATCACTTGAGGTCAGAAGTTCGAGACCAGCCTGGCCAACATGGTGAAACCCCATCTCTACTAAAAATACAAAACATTAGCTGGGTGTGGTGGCAGGCACCTGCAGTCCCAGCTCCTTGGGAGGCCAAGGCAGGAAAATCACTTGAACCCAGGAGGCAGAGGTTGCAATGAGCCAAGATCAAGCCACTGCACTCCAGCCTAGGCGACAGAGCGAGACTCCATCTCAAAAAAAAAAAAAAAAAAAAAAAAAAACCCCAGAAATATACCACACAAATATTGTCAACTCATCTTTGGCAAAGGAACACAGTGGAGAAAGGATGGTCTTTTCAGCAAACAGGAATGGAACAACTGGACATCTACATACAAAAAATTAATCTGGATACATACCCTATACCTCTCACAAAAATAACTTAAAAGGGGTCTTAGACCTAAATGCAAATGCAAAACCGAAGCAAAATGCAAAACTATAAAACTCCTAGAAGATAAAACGAGAAAAAAAAATTCTAGGTGACCTTGGGTTTGGCAATGATTTTTCAGATGTAATACCAAAAGTGCAATTCATGAAAGAAAAAAAATGGATAACTTGAACATTAAAATTAAAACCTTCTGCTCCACCAAAGACATTGTTTAGATAATGAAAAGACAAGCCACAGACTGGGAGAAAAAAATCTTTGCAAAACACATATCTGATAAAGGACTCATAATCAAAATAGCTAAAGAATACTTAAAACTCAACAACAAGCAAACAAACAACCCAATTAAAAAATGGGCAAAAGATCTGAACAGATACTTCACCAAAGATATACAGATGGCAGATAAGCATATGAAAATATGTTCAACATTATATATCATTAGAAATTTGCAAATTTAAAAAACAATAAGATACCACTACGCGTTTCTAAACGACTGTAATGAAGGAAGAAGTTTTTATACTTACAGATCTGTAGAAACAGCAGACATATGGCATGCCATGGCATGCAGGGCTGCATGAGCAACACTAGGGTCAGCCACAAGGCAGAAGGAGCCCTGGGAAAGCATGAACAAAAACCTTTAGTGTGGTTTTCACAGGAAGAAATGGGCCACGTAAAATAAGCAGGTTAAGGATTGGCTAGTTTGAATAATTTTAATGGGCTCTGGGGTATAAGAGCTGTCCCAAGTTGTCTGGTACTTTGGTTGGGTTGGTTAGGACAGGGAAATATTGACTTATGTTTGAGAGTTCCATAAAGGTGGTGGCTGGGAGTTATGGGTTTTAGATTGGTTGATTGGCATGTGAAAGGCACACTCACAAGTGAGTCATTTGATAGCTCTAGGAATTAGCTAGTCCTAGGAGAAGCAGTCTCCCCCTAACTTGCAAGGTCCCAAGATGTCAAAGCATCATAAAATACAGAAAATAAAAAACAAAATTAATGCAACATGCCTATCAGAATGGCTAAAATTCAAAACACTGACAGTATCAAATGCTGGCAAGACTGTGGTGCAACAGGAATCTATTCATCAGTGGAAACGCAAAATTTTACAGCCACTTTGGAAGATAATTTGGCAGTTTCTTATAAAGCTAAACATAAGCTTATCTTATGAACCACCAATCAAGCTGCCAGGTATTTACCTAAATGAGTTGAAAATTTGTGTTTATACAAAAACCTGCATACGAATTTATAATAACCTTATTCAAAATTGCCAAAAACTGGAAGCAACCAAGATGTCCTTCGACAGGTAAATGGATAAACAAAATGCTATATATCCATAAAATGGAATATTATTCAGTGATAAGAAGAAATGAGCTATCAAGCCACAAAAAGACATGGAGGCCACTTCAGTGTATATTGCAAATGACAGAAGCTAGTGGGAAAAGGCCATATAATGTACGATTCCACCACAGGACATTCTGGAAAAGGCAAAACTAGAGAAACAGTTAAAAACATCAGTGATTATCAGGGATTAGGAGGTAGGGGAGAGAAGAAGGGATAAATGCATACAGCATTTTTAGGACAGTAAAACTATTCCTTATGATGCTATAATGGTGGATACATGATTTTATGCATTTGTCAAAACTCATAAAATTATACAACACAAAGAGTGAACACTAAAACAGTGAAACCTAATGTAAATAATGGACTTTAGTTAATAATAAGGTATCAATATTGATCCATCAATTGTATTAAATGTACTACATTAATGCAAGATATTAATAATAGGGGAAACTGTGTTGGCAGAAATGGAGTATGCAGGAATTCTGTATTTTCTGTCCTATTTTTTCTATAAAACTTAAAGCTACTCAAAAACATTATTTTTAAAAGTGAAAAGGCAAGCATAACAGGAGATATCACATTTCATATAGCTGACAAAAGACTAATATTGAAAATATTTGAAAACCATAAATTTATAAGAAAAAGAAACTTTTTTCAGATGAAAGGAGGAGATATGAACAGGAAATTCACAGAAAAGAAACCAAAAAGGTCAATCTATGTATTGAACTGAGCTGTAGTACTCAAAATAACAATAAAATTGATATAGTTCTTATTGATCCAAATGTAAAAGTTGGACAATTTCAAATGGTGGTAAGACTGTGGAGCACAAGGAAGTCTCATGCACAGCTTTTAGGCATGTAGATTGAAGCATTTGCCTTGGCAAGATCCAGTTATTTAGAACTTGTGCATATCATTCAACACAGCAACTGCACCTGCTGGAATAAATCCAAGAGAAACTTTTACACATGCACAAAATGAGATACATATAAAAATATTCATTGCAACATAGCTGGCAATAGTGAAAATATGAAAATAAGGAAAATAATAAATAATAAAATACACACAATGGAATATTACAAAATATTTTAGGTAAGTAACCTCGAGCTGTATGTATTAACAAGAATAAATCCCCAGAACAATATTGAGTGAAAAAAGCAAAATTATATGTAGATAACAATGTTTAAAAATATGCAAAGTGATTATTTATGATACGTATATATGTAGTAATAAAATAAAAACATGAATGGAAATAGTAAATTGCCATTTTGGGGGCAGCAGTTACTTCTGAAAAGAAAGAGAAAAGAGATTGGAGAAAGTTGTGCAAGAAGCTTCCACCACACCTGTAATGATTTATTTCTTTAAATAAAATCTAAAGCAAATATTGGCAAAGTGTCAAGATTTTATTTAAAGTTGAGTACGGGTACATGACTGTTCTCTTTGTTGCTATATTCTTCTGTAAATTTGAAGTACTTAACTTTAATTAGTAAAAGAATGAGTATATAATAAATCAGCTCCATCATGTTTATCTTAAAGATGAGAAAGAAATAGTGAGTGAAAGATGTTGGTTGGGACAATAAGCTCTTAATTTAAGAACAACCCCCATGATAACATAATGTGTTCAGTGGGCTCAGCTCAAGAGACAATGATGAGACTTATGCTGTCATGAACATACAACAGAGAGAATGATGCCTAAAATTAGCTGCAGTGACAGGGTCAGAAGCCATTATACCTTAACTATCCCTAGCAAGGAAGGCTGTCCCAAATCTCCACTTGGAATGATCAAATGGGAATGGGAGGGTTCTCTCTATCAGGACTCCCCTTGTTCTCAGAAAACACTATCAGCTGAGCTGTCATTACTAACAAAACCCAAAAGGAAAGTGAAAGCTTTGTTTCTCTTTACCCACCCCTCCAACACTGACGTAGCTATTCAGTTGTTAAATAAACCTGTTGTGTTGCACATCTGCACTGTGCTGATAGGAAGGTAAGTTGATAATGCTATCTGTATTATGAAGAGGAGTGTGGATGTTGTGTGATATAAAATTTACATACATACAAATTGATTGGAGAAGCAAATAAACAATCAGCAGAGTCTAAGGATATAGAAATTACAGGCCTTCCTGGGATTTGGAGGTGGGTTTGGTTTTTCTCTAAAGAAGAAACCGATTCATCTCTAAAAGTAAAGGAAGAAAAGAGAAAATATAAGGCAAATATGAGAATCTTCTTTTTTTCTTCCTTATTTCAATAGACAGAGACCAATAACGGAAAATACGGGCAAGAATAAAAATTAGCAGCAATTAAGGTTAAGGTTAAGGCCTCCCAGAAACATACTAAGATAAGAATGGAAAACTGAGCTTAAAAGTTAGCTCTGACATGAATTACCACTTCTAAGTAATTCCATTATTTCATCTATAAAATAAATGTTTGAGACTAGATCACTGTTTTTAAAATGTGGCCCTTAGGCCACCTGTGTTGGAATCATGTAGAGGTACTGATGACAAATAAAGATTTCTGGACACCCCACAGACCACAGGATTAGTATGCATTGGCCAGGCTAACAAGATATATTTTAATGACTTCTCCATGAATTTGTGTGTAGAGTTTGAGGTCCATTAATGAGGGTACCAGCTCTTAAGTGCTGCTTGCTTTGCCAGTCTTTGATGATTAAACACAATTCCATTGGATTCTATGACATTTCTCTGCATTCTGTAAGAGAACTAACTAGTTTTCTTAAGTTTTTGATGACTTTTCTAAAGAATGCAATATATGCTCTGCCCCTTGAATAAAATTGTCTGTTTCCTAGTACTGAGAGCTTTCTCTAGAAATCTGCTGATGTATCTGCTGATGATACTGATGAAGATAATAACAAATTGAATGAATACTTCTTTTACTATGAAGCATGATCATTTAATTTCATGCAATAAAACAAGATGGGGATATTTGTAAAAGTTATTTTAAAAGGAAGGTAAGATTTTTCACAGGAAATACCCAGGATTAGATTCTTTAGTTTACTCCCTTCTATATTCATCTGCAATATTACGCTGTGTTGATTTTAGTTCAGTTTCTATAAATTTGCTTTCTACTCTTTTTTTTCATCAAATATTTGCTAAATCTTCTAAATGCCAGGAGTTTTGCTTCATGCATGGGATACTAAGATTAAAAAAAAGACACGGCCAGTCTTGTCAAAGAACTCACAAGTTTGGAGGTAAATAGACAATAAAAACTACCAAAATATCGTGGGGGCTTTAAAAGAGTTATGAATGAAGTGATTTAGCACCATAGAAAAAGAACATTCATTTGGGGAAGTCAAGGGAGATTTCACCAAAGAGGTATATTGAATCTAGACTTAGAAGTTGTGTTGTGCTAGGGTGGGAAGGTGGGCATAGAAGGCCAGGAAGTAGATGAAGAAAATTCCAGCAAGAGGGGAAACCTAAGCAAAGGCACAAACGTTTAAGATGATAACATCTGCTTAGAAAATGATACATTACTTTTTGTTTTAGGTAGAGAGATAGAATATAAATTTGAAAAATAAATGTGGGCTCAAATTAGGAAGGTCTTGAATACCATAATGAAAGTTAAGATAATTTTAAATTCTGCGTGATGGCCTTGATGAGTCATGTTGAAGGCATGCTTGATCTATACTTTGAAAAAAATCAGAAAAAGCAGAAACTAGTAGGTCAGTTAAGATACTGGTGGAGTAGGCCGGGCGCGGTGGCTCACGCCTGTAATCCCAGCACTTTGGAAGGCCGAGGAGGGCGGATAATGAGGTCAAGAGATTGAGACCATCCTGGCGAACACGGTGAAACCCCGTCTCTACTGAAAATACAAAAAAATTAGCCGGGCGTGGTGGCGGGAGCCTGTAGTTCCAGTCACTCGGGAGGCTGAGGCAGGAGAATGGCGTGAACCCGGGAGGCGGAGCTTGCCCTGAGCGGAGACGCGCCACTGCACTCCAGCCTGGGCCACCGAGCGAGACTCTGTCTCAAAAAAAAAAAAAAAAAAAAAAAAAGATACTGGTGGAGTAGAGTAGGTAGGCACCTGAAGTACTAAAGAAGCAGTAGCAGAAAGAAAAAAACAGATCAGAGAGTTATTTCAACAGCAGAATTCAAAGGGATTAGTTTGTGATCAGACGTGTGGGAAGGAGGGGAGAGGGCTAGAGGAAATGTCAAAGATGTTTCCGTGGTTTCAAGGTTTGGTGACTGAGAGGATAGAAGTGTAACAGAGATAGATCAACAAAGGAAGAGGAGCAAAGTGCAATGGCTGAGCTTGCTTTTTGACATGTGGTATAAGAAGCACTTGCACAAATCCCAGGATTTGGAGCCCATGAAATTGTGGGCCTGTATATTGGGAAGATATCAGCATAGAGTTAACAGTGGAAATCACTGGAGTAGGTAAGGCTTCTCATTGGGAAGTTAGAGTGACGATAGTAGAAACGGGAGGATAAAAACTGGAGAACATTGACATTTAACCGCTATGGCCCAGTGGCAGACATCATGATAGATAACCTATGATAGAATGAGGTGAGAAAATGTATACATCTAGTTACCATGACAAAAGAAAGTGCTAAAGCTATATAAAGGCACAGTACTGTTGAAATTACCAATGCTTAAAGATCAAAATTGGTTACTCTGTAACAGCGATCCCCAAACTTTTTGGCACCAGGCACTGGTCTCATGGAAGATAATTTTTCCATGGATGCAGGGGAGGGAGAGAACGGTTTGGGAATGAAACTGTTCCACCTCAGATCATCAGGCATTAGATACTCATAAGGAGTACACAACCTAGATCCCGCACATGAACAGTTCACAAGAAGTTTGGCGCTCCTCTGAGAATCCAGTGCCGCTGCTGATCTGACAGAAGGTGGAGCTCAGGTGGTAATGTTCGCTCACCTGCCACTCACCTTCTGCTGTGTGGCTGGGTTCCTAACAGGCCATGGACCAGGGGTTGGGGACCCCTGCTCTATAACATTTATTCCTTCAAACTGGACCACACCAGATGCATAACATGTTGACAAGAGGTTTTATTAAAAAAATGTAAAGTGCATTAATGAAGGGCATCAATATTATTCAGTTGACTATAATAGTAAAAGAAAGAGAAATGGTGACAGTTGGGCAACACTGAATGCAACACTAGGTATGCCATTACTTTTTGGGGCCATTAATGAAAACGTTTATAAGTTTGCCACAACTTGAGGTGAAGAATTATTCGTAATAAATTGAAAGAAAAAAATATATAAAGAAGAAAATACCCGGAAATAAAAGGAAGTGAATGCATTTCATGTTTTAATTTTCTTTCAAAATCTCTCTTATTTCATGATTTTACTGCTAAAATTGATAGAGTGGGAGAAGGATAGTGTGGGGAGGAGGTAAAGAATGAACTCAAACAATTTATGACAATATACACCCTTTCACTAAATAAAGAATTAACTTAGCAACTCAGAAAATGAGAATCTGGGCTCATTATCTTAATTCATTCGACATTCTTTTAACAAATTTTTGTTGAGTACTTACCATATGCCAGACATTCTAGGTGCTGGAATACGGATACAGCAGTGAACAAGATAGATGAAAATGTCTACTTTTATGAAGCTAATCGAATAAATAAGTAACTGATTCATAGCTGACAATTGCCAGAAGAGGGCCAGAAATAAGGCAAGAAAGAAAGATAGGAAATGTGTGGGTTGAGCAGTAATTAAAATTGTAAAAACATGGTCAGGAAAGCCCTCACTAAGAAAGTAATATTTGAGCCATGACTTCCAGGAGGGTAGAGAGAAAGCCATGTGAACACTGGAGGGAGAAGTAATTACAGGTGGAGATTGTAGCAAATGCAAAGCCAATATGTGCAACATGCTTGCTGTACTGAGAGAAGAGACAGAAGTCCTGACAGTCTGGACTGGACTGGAGTATCCAGGGGGAAAGAGACAGGACACTGGTGACCGGTAGTGTTGGCCCAGATCACGCAAAGCTTTGTAAGCCATTATGAGGACTTTGCCTCTTCCTCGCAATGAGATGAAATGCCAGTGGAGGTGTTCAAGCAGCATTGGAAAAATTCCACAGTCTTATGTTGCAATGGAATGAAGTACTGGCATAATTTCTATAGTTGGCTTTCACATAGAAAATACATTTCTAATGCCATGCACAGTGGTACTTTCCTGTAGTCCCAGCTACTTGGGAGACTAAAGTAGGAGAATCATTTGAGCCTAGCAGTTTGAGGTCAGCCTGAGCAACACAGTAAGACTCCATCTCTAAAAAAAAAAAAAAAAAAAAAACAAAAAAAAAAACAATTTAATACATTTCTTGTTTTTTCTGTGTGCATATTGTAATAGGCAGAATTCTAAAGATGTCCTCCAAGATTTCCATGTAGTGGTTATTCAGTACAAATCTACTTCTATGAAAGGACTTTGTACATGGAATTAAGGTTACTAATCAACTGACCTTAAAATAGAGAGATTACCTAGGATTATCTGGGGTAGCTCCAGCGTAACCACATGAGCCCTAAAAAGCAAAAGAGGAAGACAGAAGAATCAGGCACAGTGGGAAATCAGAGAGATTCAAAGCAAAAGAAAGACTTTCCCTGTCAATCCTAGCTTTGGTGATTAAGGAAGGGGTTCACAAAATAAGGAATGCAGAAAGCCTGTAGAAACTACAAACAATCCCAGGCCAGCAACCGGTAAATAAACAGGGACCTCAGTCTGCATCTACAACCACATGGAACTGAAGTTTGCCAGCCACCTGAAACACTTTGGAAGCAGATTCATCCCCAGAACCTTCAGAAAGGAATGCAAACTGGCCACCATCTTGACTTCAGCCTGTAAAAACTGGGAGAAAAAACCAGCTTACCCATGCTTTGTCCAGACTGCTGAGCTACAAATCTGTGGGATAATAAATGAGTGATATTTTAAGCCACTAACGTTGTGGCTTAAGTGGCAATAGAAAACCAAAACACATATAAATGATAAAACATCTAAATATTGTATTTGCCTAACATTTTATTGAGAACAAGATCTGTGCTTTATTCTCCTAAGAATATTCTCCTGTATATGAATCTCCTAATTCAGACATGCTTTAGTGTAAGAGAATGAACTAATAAACTGGAGGGCTGGGAGTGGTGGCTCATGCCTGTAATCTCAGCACTTTGGGAGGCCCAGGTGGGAGGATTGCTTGAGGCCAGGAGTTCAGGACAAACTTGGCAAACATAGCGATACCCCATCTCTGTAAAAATAAAAAATAAATAAATAAACTGGAGAATGAATTTTGTGTTACTTAAAAGGATAAAGAAATAAATGGATAAAGAAAAATAATTTATTGTGGAAATCTGGCTTATTATATTGCTTTCTAAATAATTTTCATTTTGATAGATTCAGAAAGCCTATGATTCATAAGGAAAATTAAAATTTTTTATATCTGTACATTAAAAAGGGAAGGATCAAATTTTTTATTTTGTAAACAGACTAAGACTATAAAAGCAGTGAAGTAAAATGCTATCATGAAATTCATACTACCATAAGAAATCTCAAAGATATGCAAGATTACAGGTAGAGAGGACAAATTCTATAGTTCCTCCCAATTGCCCCTAGGTCTGGTCTTCTGTACTTGCTATTGTCCTATCTACCATAGAATTGAAAACAGACATTTTATTGATGAGCTTTTTATTAATTCCTTATCAACATAGGAGATAATTGGCCACAAGCTTCCAGCCTCCTTGAAAAACAAAACATTCTTCTAGACCTCAAGTCTTGCATAACTCATGGTGCTTGCTCCCATCTGAACATCTTGAGCATGGTGTCTCTCTGGTTAGGAGATTTTTTAAGAGTGCATTATATGCACATGTCTAAGCCCAAGTCATTGATGTCGAAACACAGACTGCATTTTCCTGTTACGACACCCATGTCATTTCAAAGCCTATCAAAAAAGATAGTGAAATCTGCCCCCACAAATTCTAGTCTTTAGTGAAGATGATGAAACACACTCAGAAATAAATAGCTTCATTCAAACTAGAGCTTAAAAACACCAGATTGATCCACTGGTTTCAAACAGTTTTTCAATAGCAGTGAACAGTGGCATCCTGTGGAGCTCCAAAGATGGTCTTGTCTTATTTGAAACTGGGCCTTTCAATCACAGCCATCATTCAGAACACTTCAGAAAGCCCTTCTCCTTCTCCCTGTACAGTAGATGCCATCTCTTTCTCTTCTTGAAAATTTTCTTATGTAATGGATCAACTCAGGAAAAAAGGAGAGGAAATTCAGAGTCCAATAGTCTATATAAATTTCTATATATTCCAGACAATAATTTTTTATATGACTAAACATAATAAAAACATGCATTTATCTTCTTCCTGGATGCCTCCTAAACTACTGAAAATTGTAACCTTCAACTTTTTAAAAATATTTCTCTTTGGGATATATTGAACTTAATTAGGACAATACTTTCTCACTTGAGGCAAGGAGAATTTTAGAGAACAAATATCATATTTTGCTTTTCTAAGAGTGCTTCCATTATCCATGTTTTTCCTCTTTCCATTATAAATAATTTAGTAAACTTCTATTGAATAGCTATTAACATGTACCAGGTTCAGTACTTGGCACTGGGAATGCACAGGTTAATAGTATGTAATCCCTGCCTGCAAAAAGTTCATCTACTTAATCAACCGATATCACATCACCCACCTCCAACCACACACACACACACCAACTAATGCACAGATGCCAATTGCAAGTTATTTTCATAATTAAGACTATCCAAGTTCATCTCAGTTGGGAAATGGAAAATTTCTCAATAAATCATGACCTGACCCTTTCACCTACTCTCACATGGATTTTTATCATTTATTATTTATCACTTGATCTCAGAGTCTGAACTAAATCAATGTATTTTGTGCTGTCTTCTTCTTTTTTTTCCTTTGTTTTTTGTTTTGTTTTGTTTTGTGTTTTGAGATGGAGTTTCTCTCTTGTTGCCCAGGCTGGAGTGCAATGGCACAATCTTGGCTCACTACAACCGCTGCCTCCCGGGTTCAAGCGATTCTCCTGCCTCTGCCTCCCAAGTAGCTGGGATTACACGTGCCTGCCACCATGCCCAGCTAATTTTTTGTATTTTTAGTAGAGACGGGGTTTCTCCATGTTGGCCAGGCTGGTCTTGAACTCCTGACCTCAGGTAATCCGCCACCTTGGCTTCCCAAAGTGCTGGGATTACAGGTTTGAGCCACCGCACCCGGCCCTGTGCTGTCGTCTTAAAGACAATCATATTTCTTGGAACTGAAACATACTAAAGGACTCATCATTGCTAGCCTTAAACAATCTTTGTAAATAGTATAAAAATTAGTTATCATTTTTTATCAAGATTCAAATAGGTGCCAATAGAGACAAGGGATCAAATCGGGGAGATTTAAAAGTGCAATGGTGTCCCGTAAAGTCCAACAATACACGTTGCCAAAAACACGTTTTATAATGTTCATAAAAACACTCTAATAATAGTATGTTTTTAAGTTGTAATTTGTTCTAAGGGTGATTCAGAGAAAACATCTTTAAACACAGTAACTTTATTTATTTATTTATTTATTATTTATTTATTTATTTTTGAGACGGAATCTTACTCTGTTACCCAGGCTGGAGTGTAACAGCACAATCTCGGCTCACTGCAACCTCCACCTCCCAAGTTCAAGCGATCCTCCCACCTCAGCCTCCTAAGTAGCTGGGAGTACAGGCACGTGCCACCACACCCAACTAATTTTTGTATTTTTAGTAGAGACAGGGTTTCGCCATGTTGGTCAGGCTGGTCTCGAACTCCTGACGTCAGGTGATCCACCTGCCTTGGACTCCCAAAGTGCTAGGATTACAGGCGAGAGCCACCGCACCCGGCCTAAACACAGTAACTTTAAACACAAGCTATATTACATGCTTGGTTACTTTGCTTTGAGGTCTTTTCTAAGACTACAAAAGCAGTGAAGTAAAATGCTACCATGAAATTCATACTACCACAAGGAATCTCAAAGGTTTGCAAGATTATAAGCAGAGAGGACAAATTCTGTAGTTCCTCCCAACTGTTCCTAAGTTTGGTCTTCTGTATTTGCTGTTGTAAATTTGAGGTCTTTTCTTTTAAAATAGACAGTTCTAAATGAATAAATGGAAGCAACAGCAGATATTCAGAGAAGAAAAATGGGGATCTCCTCTTTTAACAACCTCACAGCTAAAAGCAAAGGCAACTGAAATATTAGTTATCCTGAGAATGATATATCTTATTGCAGGGAAGATGCAAGGTAACAACTTCTATAATTGTAATCTTCTTTCCAGAAAATCTTGAAAGTCATTAAAATTCCCCTCTTCCTTGGTGCCAAAATTTCATAAGTATGGTGTTATATGATTCAGAATTTTGCATAATTAAACCTTGCTGTGTTTTGCCATAATCTAATAGAGTACTTTATTTCAATAAAACAGCAACTAGGTTGTTAGGCTTCATATCAATTGTTCCTCATTAATGTTGCAGAAAAACGATTAGCATTTTGAGGCAAACAAGGTGTACTTACTTAGTGGGACATGACCCTGCTGTCACTAAATTATATCCATGATTAATGATCTCCTCTAGTTTAAAGTTTGAATCATAATAAATAGATTGTAAGTGAAAAATAGAGGAGGGACAGAGAAATGTGAGAAAGATGAACCTCAAGACTTGAATCATACATGCCATTGTTCAGCATTGAATTTAGCTCATAATGCAATTGACCTCAAGGTTGATGCTCAAATTCCAATGCAGTGGTTTTCAGTCCTGGCCACACATAAAAATCACCTGGGGAGCTTTTTAAAACCCCAGTGTTTAGGTCCCATCTCAGACTAATTAAATTCTCTGGAGTTGAGACCTGGGCACTGTGAGGTTTTCAAAGAATAAATGCCATAATATCCACATTTAAAAAATGAAATTGGAGTTACAAAAAAAAAAAAAAACAGAAAAACAGGAAATCTATATTTAAACATGATACAATAAAGATTTTTGGTTTGGGTTTTCCATATTACATAAACACAATAAAAATTATGTTTCTATAACATATTAGTTAATCCAGAGCTACATAGATAATTTTTGTGCACTAGTTTCTATGTATTTATTTTATTAATAAATAAAAGTGTCATCTTATTCTATGAAAGACATTTGTATTTTACTTTAACCAATTCATTATAATCACAACCAAATTTGGGATAGTTAAAACCTACAATGTTATGGAGAACTATTTTAGATCTACCTGCAAAAAGGTTTTGTTTTGTGTAGATGTGAGTACATGCAAATTCACACACCTACTATACTATAGCTCTCTTTTAAATAAGTTTGATTTAGGGAGGCATCTAACCTGATAACAATAGGTTATTGGAAACACTGGAAAGACTTAACTGTTGTAGACCAGCATTATCTAGGATGGAATATTTTGGGATGTATCAGAAACATAAAACATAAAACAGATTATATTAAAACCTCAATCCCTAAGCATTGAAATGATTGTACCTCCAAATATAGCTCAAAGAAAACAATATTAAGTCATTAAACAAAAATCATCCATATTTATTTGCTTAAAATAGCTTGTTCTAAATTTTTTATTGTAAAATTCTGGATAAGTTAATTGAAGTTGGACTTCTCTCAAAATATTAGTGTCCCTAATACATGTCAGGCCCATCTGGGTATTCCATCACTGTATAATTTATGACATGTGCATACACACAATATTAGTAGATGTAGTGGGTGTATATTTTTTGCAGACCTCCTATCTGGCTCACCTCATACCTAACTGGAAGGCAAGAAAGAGGAAGGAAAATCAAAGTGGTTTGAAGGTAAGAAAGAAAGGAGGGAAGGAAAGATAAAGATGGAACCATATAGAATTTGTTGTTCTTTTTTAACCTAATCTCCAAAGCATTTCTACTATTCATTCTTGCCTTCTTCTCTTTCATTTATGTCTTCATTCCTCCTTTTAACAAACTTCCCTCACAACTCCTAAAGTTGGTGGATTGCCAATGTCCTTACTAAACCAGTTTCACAAGTATAGCAAACTAGAATCATAAATAAATAATTTCTAGTCAAAGTTCTGAATAATGCTCTTAGACCTTGTATAGATCACCTAATGTAAAGACTATGCAGTTGTTCCACTCTCTGCACTTAAATTTTGTTTAAGTGATTGACAGACAGTTATTGGATGTATTAATTTTATTATTTAAGAGTCTTTTCACCTTGATAGTTCTACCTGTTAAACTTAGTATATTGAATCCTTTCAATCCAGATGTTAGTATGTTGTATGATATTAATTTTTATAAATCTGGTCAGCTGCGAGATCTTTTTAGTGCTTCTATTCTGCCAGTTAATTATTTTTTCTCTGCTAATTACAGTTAATGTGGTTTTAAACTATCCTATGAATGAATTGATGACTTTAGTTGAGTCATTTCAGATAAAGTGAAATTAGTACAGAGATTTAGATTCTTCTGTACATATAAACCACTTCAGGTCTTTTTAGTGTACCTTAGAAATAGCTAATAATTAGAAGAAAATAGAAAAACATCTTTATTTTCTAATAATGACTTACAGTCATCATTCAGAAAAAAAGTCTTCATTTAATTTAGTGAAACAAAAGAAAGTCGTTGATTATATAATTAGTTAATTCATTGCTAACTAATTTTATGTAGTGGCAGAGGCATTTAATCGTGAGTCCTCCATACCTTTGGAATATATTAACATTGGAAATCATGGATTAAGTTCTCAGGCATGTTGGAAAGGTAAATATAATGGTGATATGTGTTATATAAATATGTGCATAAATATGTAGGTAGAAATAAGATTTGGAAATGGTTGGGCTGGTACATTATCTTATCAGTTATAATTTTTTTTTTAGATTCTAAACTTGCTGCCAAATTTTGTGCTTAGTTGGAGAGTTTCATATGATTTTTTGTATGTTTATTTATGGTATTTTTTCACTAAAAATGCATCATTACCTTAGCAGCTGCTGCACCACATGGAGCAGCATGTGTGCTTTTTAAAAGAGATCCAGAGCACCTTCCCCCAGAAACCCAGAGCCAATATGCTTTGGGAAGTCTGCTGCAGGACTCAGATTTCACCAGCAAGAACATGTACAATTTAGATATTTTTTACAGGGGTTTTTTTCCAATAATAATTTTTTATACTATTTCTTATTTTCTAAGTTTTCTATTTAAAAATATTGTTTCAAAAAAGGAAAAAGTATATAAAAGTTAATGCATAGTGAAATAAAGCTTAAAATACATTCTCTCCTTTGCTTGGGGCCATTTTGGAAGGAGTTTGGGACTGTCTTTACTCAACAACAAAAACATGAGAGAGAAAATAAGGAAGTGGGTACTGATGTATGTTTTATGAATGAGTCTTTTCTTACTTTATGTATTTGATACAGTCTGCACTGTATTTCTTATTTTGTAGGGGATTAGGGAGAGGAGAGGACAGGAGAGGAGAGGAGAGGAGAGGAGAGGAGAGGAGAGGAGAGGAGAGATGTATCATTCCAAGTCTGCTTAGCCTTTCTCCACTTAGACACTCAAGTTTCTGTTCCCATTTTCATGTATCTCCTGAAAATGTCATTTCAGTTCCCAGCATCAATTCTATAGAATGAATTTTATGACTCTTCTCTGGGCATTTTTCAAATGATCTTTGAGTAACACATCTTCAAGGCTATTACTCACATCTGGCATAGACAAATAGACAATAGAGCAATGCTAGCAAAGTGATCCATAAATGCAATGCATTGTATTTTTGGGTAAATTTATGTTAAGCAATTAGTTTCCTGACTTTTTATGAAATTACATGTTTTGAATGAAATGTCTGATTTGTTTTAAGTCATGTAAACAAGGCTTCATATCTTGAACTAATGTGTTTTGATGAGATAAAGTGAATCATTATACATCTCCCTGCCAAAATAACTCTCCAAAATAACTCTCCAATTAATCTTGGAGAATATTTATAATGTCTATAGAAAAAAAGAAAAGATAAAATTTTGAAGAATGATATCATAAGGAAAATGATATACATATGGAGATTCCCAAAACCATTTACATTTGATTATCTATGAAGAAAATAAAGTATATTAATGCATTTGATTTGATATAACAGGTAAATATCTAACATATGGTGCTTATTATTATTCTCATTGATTATAAAACATCAATCTACAGAAATGTGGAAAGTAAGATATATCAGGAAAGGAAAAAATATTCCTAAACTTAAAGCCAGGCCAGTTGGATCTAATCCTGACCAACGGGGTTGAGACAACTTCTGTGGATTTTAGATTCCTCAGTGGTAAAATGTGCTCTGGGGATGACCTCAGGTGATCTCATGCTCAATGGTTTCAGGTAATATCGGTGCATGAAGGGTGCATGAGCAGGTAATATTGGTGCATGAAGGGTGGAGTGACTGGCAATATGATCAATGGTAACTGACCCTTGAGCCTGTCATGGCCTGAATGTGTGCCTCCAAAATTCGCATGTTGGAGGCCTCACTCCCAATGTGATAGTATTGAGGTGGGGTGTTTGGGAGGTAATTAGGCTAGATGAGGTCATGAGGGTGGAGCCTCCATAATGGGATTAGTGTCCTTATAAAAAGAGATACTTGAGAGCTTCCACCCCTCCCCACCTTCTGCCATGTGAGAACACAGTGAAAAGGCTGCCCTTTTCAAGCCAGGAAGGGAGACCTCACCAGAACCCAACCATGCTGTCCACACACCCATCTGAATTCTAGCAACCAGAACTGTGGTAAGATTGATTTCTTTTTCTTTTCCTTTTTTTTTTTTTTTTGTGAGTCAGGGTCTCACTCTGTCACCCAGACTGGAGTGCGATGGTGTGATCTCGGCTCACCGCAAGCTCCGCCTCCCAGGCTCAAGCAATTCTCCTGCCTCAGCCTCCCGAGTAGCTAGGATTACAGGTGGGTGCCACCACATTCAGCTAATTTTTGTATTTTTAGTAGAGACATAGTTTCACCATGTTGGCCAGGCTGGTCTCGAACTCCTGACCTCAAATGATCCACCAGCCTTGGCCTCCCAAAGTGCTGGGATTACAGGCATGAGCCACCGCGACTGGCCGATTTCTGTTGTTTAAGCAACAAATCTAAGGTTATAGCAGCCCAAGCTGACTGTGGCAGACCCCATGTCAGGGAGACTGGGAGGGGGTGGTGATAGGGAATTAGAGAGTGTATGATTGGTCTAACATGGGCCAAAGCCACTCAGCTTCAGCTGTTTATGGCATATGGGAAGGTAAGTCCAAATACGGCACATCTAATTTTAAAGAAATATGAACATCTAGATTTAAACATGAAGTCTTCTAAATTTTACAAATTGATTATGAATTCAAGTTTTGGTTTATTTTGGGGTGTGTGTGTGTGTGTGTGTGTGTGTGTGTGTGTGTGTGTTAAGAACATGGAATGTTATCTGTGGGGCCAATTTGAATCATAGGCTATCTGCACGTTACTAGCCTTTAAACTGGATTATTACTAATATACCTAAAATTATATGAATTTGTATCCGTGTGAATTTTAAAAGGCAAAAAGCTAATAGGCTTTGGTTTACTTAAAACAAAAAACAACTTTGAGCTATGGGATAGTGGACATGGATTTGAGATCTGGATCAGCCATGTATGAACAGAGTGAGCCAGCCCTGCCACCACCATCTGCACCCCAGGAAAGCCTAGACTTTCTCCCCAAAAGATGGCCTTCTCTTTCATGAGAGCACCTCAGTACTAAATAACTCATTTTGTCTCTAACACTTACAACTTCAATCAATGGCCAATATGATATACCAGATCACCACCAGGCTGGCTTTTGTCCTCTGTGGTCCTTCACAAAAATTGGCAAGTTTGGAATCAGCCAAGTTGAAGTGGGAATTGGTACTGGAGATTTGGAATTGGCTCTCAGTTCAGTCTATGATCCAAGAAGCAGTGATGTGAAGGACAGCAAGGGCCAAAAAGCCAGCAGAGCTGTGCAGTAGGGATGCCAGAGTATAGCCAAGCAAGAGCCAAGGACTGCAGATTTGGAAGCTGCTGCAATAACTGGAGCTGTGGCTTCAGGCCATGGGGTAAGCTAGCTTAATGCTGCTGGATAACCTCTCTGCCCAGAGCTGCTGTCATTGAGCCAAGATTTTTGTGTCCTGGCTCTTTCTTTATACTGCATGTTAGTGGCGCCTCTCAGCTCTCAACAGTTAGAAAGCCTAACCTTCATATCTGCCCTCCAGCTCTTTCTTAACAAAAGGGAAGATTGCTTAGGGGCATCCTAGCCACACTCCACTAGGTTGGTACAAAAATTCTGTCCTTGAACTGAAAAAGACCATCAGGTTTTTGTATCATGTAGATCACTTAGCTTAGGCCTCATAGATTTGCTTGCCCTGAGTTGCACTACATTAAGCCTTTTGGTTTTATTAAAGTTATCTAGGAGAGTCAGGGAAATGATTGAATCCCTGAAAAATGCTTTTGAATATCATTTTCATTGATCATTGGGAGTTTCCTTTGTCAAGCTCCAGAAAAAAATATCTATTAAAGTTCAGTGAACTTGTCACTTTTGATCAAATTGGAAGGAAGCTCAAAACAAAAGATGAACTCTGTTATAAAGCTAGATTATTCCTTGACTTTGCATATTTGTGTTCTACTCTTTTTCTTGGTCTTATTTATCTACTCAAATCCCATCTAAAAAAGGGGAGGGAAGGCAAGGCATGGTGGCTTACACCTGTAATCCCAGGGAGGCTGAAATGGGAGGATCGCTTGAGCCCAGGAGTTTGAGACCAGCCTGAGCAATATGATGGAAACCCATCTTTACAAATAATATAAAAAATAGCCAGGAGGGCATGGTGGCATGCACCTGTAGTCTCAACTACTTGGGAGGCTGAGGTGGGAGGATCACTTAAGCCCAAGAGGCAGAGGCTGCCTTGAGCCAAGATTGTGCCACTGCACTTCAGCCTGGCCAACAGAGGGGAACCTTTTGGAAAGGAAAAGGAAAAGTGAAAAGAGAAAGGAAGGGAAAGGGGAGGGGGAGGGGGAGGGGGAGGAGGAGTGGGAGGGGAGGGGAGGGGAGGGGAGGGAAGGGAGGGGAAGGGAAGGGAAGGGAAGGGAAGGGAAAACATTTTCTTTCAAAAAAAATGAGGGGGGAATAAATAAATCCAATGAACAAGCTAAAATTTTAGCAGAGTGCTCATTATTTTCCAAATGCAAGGAAATTAGGAACTAACCCCTCTGAAGATATATAGAATTGAAACAGAAACAAATTTATCCAGCAACTTTATATAGAAGCATACAGAAGATTTCAACTCAGCACTGTAGATCCCCCTATCTGCAGGAACTGCATTCCAAAAGCCCCAGTGGATGCCTGAAACCACAGATATTATCAAAACCTATATATACTGTTTTTCTTTTGCATACATATGATAAAGTTTAATTTGAAAATTAATCACAGTAAGAGACTAACAATATCAAATAATAAAATAGAATAATTATAACAATATAGTGTAATGAAAATATGTGAATGTGGTCTTTCTCTCTTTCTCTCAAAATATTTTCAGTTTGTGGTTGACCATGGATAATTGAAATCACAGAAACAAAAACTGTGGATAAGAAGGAACTACTGTAACCTAGGATAAAAGACCCCTTCCCCCTGTAGGTCTTCAGACACAAGTCATGTGTGACTTTTATTGCATCATTAATGCTAGCTACATTCACCCAATTGTACCTTCTCAATAGTATTTTGATATTGTTACAATATCAGTTCCCCACTTTCCCCTACGCAGGTCCTATATCAAACTCCAGCTTCATTTAATGATCTGTTTAGCAATTTTAAGTTTACCTTCTTTTTAATGGTCTCCTTACTGGAGAAACTCACTGGCTTGACTAGAATTTGAATTGTATTTCTACACGTATTAAACCAAAACAAGAATTGTTAAGTATCCTGTCACGAGAGAAAAAGAGGACAAAGCCGTTGTCTTCTTTGAAAGTGGTAATCCTCTATGACGCTACATTATTCCAAAAGCTAAGTATCAGAAAACTATCCTTCACATTTGCCTGTCACCACTTTCCAAGCCCAAACCAATAAACCTGAAAGGTTAATTTTTGAGCCTGTGTTTCTTTATCATTAAAATAGAAATACTACTACTCTCATTGAGTAGCAGTGAATTTTTATTGAAATGTTGTGTGTGAAGTTAATTATAAAGCCATTATTCAATGGTGAATTTCCATTTGTTCCTTTTCAAGGGACATGCTGAGACTGGAGAGAATTTGTGGAATATTGGAGTTGTGTCTTGATTCTGACTCACCCTGTGACCTTAGTCACTTAACTTCCCCAAACAACAAGCTTCGCTATGGAAAAGTAAACATCCTATCCGCCTCAGCAGGTTGTTGGGTATACCCATTAATTGAAACTACTTGTCAAATGAAGATTATTAATAACTCTCTGGAAGATTCCTATTCAAGAAACCATAATGATTTTCACTCAAATGATCCATTTTTATCCATTTTCAATGTACAAAGGTGAGTTATAGAATGCAGTATTTAAATTAGACATAAAGATGCATTTTGAATGCACCATGAAATTTACCAATGTTCACAGTAAGGATTTATCAAAGTACATAGTATAAATATCTGATTTCTATACTATGACTGACATATTCATATGTCATGATTCAGCCATATTTTTTGTTTTATTTTTAATTGGCACATAAGAATTATACATGTTTATGGGGTGCAGTGTGATGTTTTGATACACATATATTTGTATAATGATTAAATCAGGGTGTTTAGCTTATCCATCACCTCAAACATTTATTATTTATTTGTGATTCAAACATTCAAAATCCTCTCTTCTAGTTATTTTGAAATATTTGATACAATATTGTTACCTATAGTCACTCTACTGCAATACAACACCAGACCTTATTCCTACCTATCTGTAATTTAGTACCCACTGGTCAATTGCTTTCCACTCCTTCCTCCCCACTATCATCCTCAGCCTCCATGACCACTTTCTACTCTGTATGTCTACAAGATCAACTTTTCAAAATACCACAAATGAATGAGATCACCTGGTATTTGTCTTTCTGCACTTGGCTTGTTTTACTTAACATGACCTCCAGGTTCATCTTTCTTGCTGTAAATGACAGCATTTTGTTCTTTTTATGGCTGAATAATATTCCATTGTGTATATAGACCACAATTACTTTATCCATTCATCTATTGATGGACACTTAGACTGATTCCATATCATGGCTGTGGTAAATAATGCTGCAATAAACGGAACTGCAGACATTTCTTGAACATACTGATTTCAATTCCTTTGGGTAAATATCCAGTATGGGATTACTAATCATATGGTAATTCTAATTTTTTGAGAAACTTCCATACTGTTTCCCATAATGGCTGTGCTAATTTACATTTTTACCAACAGTATATAAGGGTTCTCATGTCTCCACATCCACGTCAGCATTTGTTATTTTTTTATTACAGTCACTTTAATTTGGGTGAAGTGATATCTCAGTGTGGTTTTGATTTGTATTTTCCTGACAATTAGTGATATTGAGCATATATTTCATATACCTATTGGCTCTTTTTATGTCTTTCTTTAAGAAAAGTCTATTAGGTCTTTTGCTCATTTTTTAAATCAAATTATTTGTTTTTGTTTGTTTGAATTTTGCTGTTGAATTGTTTGAGTTCCATATACATTCAGGATATTAACCCCTTGTCAGATGCATAATTTAAAAGTATATTCTTCCATTCTGTAAGTTGTCTCTTCACTCAGTGGATTGTTTCCTTTGTTATATGTAAGCTTTTTAGTTCAATGTAATCTCATTTGTCTGTTTTTGCTTGTGTTGCCTGTGCTTTTAAGTTCTTATCAAAAAAATCCCTGCCCATACCAATATCCTGAAGTGTTTCTCCTTTGTTTTCTTCTAGTAGTTTTATAGTTTCGGGGCTTATGTTTAAGTCTTTAACCCATTTTTAGTTGATTTTTGTATATGATGAGAGATGGTGGCTTAGTTTCATTCTTCTGCACTGGGATAAGTGGTTTTTCCAGCACCATTTATTGAAGAGACCATCCTTTCCCCAATATCTGTTCTTAATACTTTTGTTGAAAATCAGTTGGCTGTGTGTGGATTTATTTCTGAGTTACCTATTCTGTTCCATTAGTCTATGTGTGCGTGCGTGTGTGTGTGTGAGAGAGAGCGTGAGAGAGTGTGCATTTGCCAAAATCTTGTTTTGGTTACTCTAGCTTTGTAGTATAATTTGTGGTCGTGTAGTGTAATATTTCCAGCTTTGTTCTTTTTGTTCAGGATTTTTTGTTTGTTTGTTTTTGCTACTCAGGGTCTTTCACGGTTCTGTTACCGGGGGTCTTTGTTCACAGAGCTTCTAAGATGGTGGGGAGCCACTTCCAAGATGGTGGTGGGCTGCTTCTAAGATGGTGGCAAGCCTCGTGTTCTCTGACCTGGGGTTCTTGGCCTCACGGATTCTAAGGAATGGAATCTTGGGCCATGAAGTGAGTGTTATAGCTCTATTAGAAGCTGTGGGTCACAGAAGAGAACCGTGGAACCTAGTGACTAGTGTTCAGCTCAATTAGGATGAACCTGGGCACTTAGCCGTGCAGGAACAATGGCAAGCCTTTAGCCTGATGGGGAGCCGCAAAAGGTGCCTCGCTGGATCAGGAGCACAGAGGACATCCTGCCAGATCCGGAGGGATGGGAGTCAGTGGTGGGTCTGCGATGGTGGCAAACAGCAGTGGTGGATGGTGAGTGAAAGCTCAGCTCAAGCTGTAACAAACATGGACCAGAAGAGTGAAGTTGCAAGATTTAATAGAGCGAAATAGAGTGAAAACAGAGCTCCTACACAAAGGGAGGGGACCTAAAGGCGGTTGCCCTTGCCTGCTCAAATGCATGGGTTTATATCCTGATCATTGTCCCTCCCACTGTGCTCTCAGGCAACAGATGATTGGCTATTTCTTTACCTCCTGTTGTTGCCTAATTAGCATTTTAGTGAGCTCTCCTTACTATCTGATTGGTCATGTGTGAGCTAAGTTGCAAGCCCCGTGTTTCAAGGTGGAAGCGGTCACCTTCCTAGCTAGGCTTAGGGATTTTTAGTCGGCCTAGGAAATCCAGCTAGTCCTGTCTCTCAGTTCCATATGAATTTTAGGGTTTTTAAAATATTTCTGTAAATAATGTCATTGGTGTTTCGTTAGGGTTTGCATTGACCCTGTAGATTATTTCAGGTAGTATGGACATTGTAACTAATAATTCTTCCAATTCATGAACACAGAACGCCTTTCCATTTATTTGTTCCCTCTTCAATTTCTTTTATTAATGTTTTCCAGTTTTCATTCTACAGATCTTTCACTAGATAGTTAAGTTTATTCCTAGGTATTTTTTGTAGCTATTGTAAATAATTTCTTTCCTGATTTCTTTTTCAGATAGTTCACTATTGGCATACAGAAACACAACAGATTTTTATGTCCTACAAATTTACTGAATTCACTTATTAGTTCTGAAGTTTTTGTGGAGTCTTTAGGGTTTTCTCTATATAATATCATGTCATCATCAAACAAGGATAATTTGACTTCCTCCTCTCCAGTTTGGATGTCCTTTATTTCTTATCTTGCCTAATTGCTCTGGCTAGAATTTCAGAACTATATTGAATAAAACTGGTGAAAGTGGTCATCCTTGTCTTATCCCAGGTCTTGAAGAAAAAACTTTCAACTTTTCACCATTCAGTTTGATGGTCAGCCATGGAATTGTCATATATGGCTTTTATTGTGTTGAGGGATATTCCTTTCATAACTAATTTATTAAGAGTTTAATATTAAGGGATGTCAAATTTTATCAAATGCTTTTTCTGCATCTATTGAGATGATCATACAGTTTCTGCCCTTGACCCCATCGATGGGACGTATCACATTCATTGATTTCCATATGTTGAACCATCCTTGTATCCATGGGATGAACCCATCTGATCATGGTGTATCATCTTTTTAATGTCCTGTTGGATTTGGTTTGCTAGTATTTTGTTGAGGTTTTTTACATCTGTGTTTGTCAGGAATATTGATTTGTAGTTTTCTTTTTATGTTGTGTCTTTGTCTGGTTTTGGTATCAGGGTGATGCTGTCCTCAGAGAATAATTTTGGAAGAATTTCTTCCTCTTTAATTTTTTGGAATATTTTTAAAAGGATTGGTATTGGTTCTTTTTTAAATGTTGTTTAGAATTCAAGAGTGAAGCCATCAGGTCCTGAGCTTTTCTTTGACAGGAAACTTTTTACTATTGATTCGATCTTGCAACTCATTATTGTTCTGTTCAGTTTCTAATTCTTCATGACTCAATTTTGGTAGGTTGTATGTGCCCAGGAATTTATCCATTTCTTTCAGGTTTTCCAATTTGTTTGTTCATAGCTGTTAATAATAGTTTCTTATGATCCTTTGTATTCCTGTAGTATCAATTGTAATGTCTTTACATCTCAGATTTTATTTATTTGGATTTTTCTCTGTGTTTTTCTTAGTCTAGCTAATGGTTTATTCATTTTATATGATCAAAAACCAACTCTTTGTTTTATTGATCTTTTATAATTTTTCAGTCTCTATTTTGCTTATTTATTCTCTGATCTTTACTATTTCTTTCATTCTACTAATTTGGGTTTTAGTTTGGTCTTGTTTTTCTAATACCTTGAGGCCTATCATTAGGTTGTTTTCATAAGCTATTTCTAATTTTTTTTGTTGTAGGCATTTATTGCTATGAAATTCCCTCCTAGAACAGCTTTTGCTATATCCCATAGATTTTGGTAAGATGTATTTACATTTTCCTTTGTTTTGGGTTTTTAAATTCTCTTTTAAATTTCTTCATTGACCAATTTGGTGATCAACAGTATGCTGTTTAATTTTCCTGTATTTATATAGTTTCCAAAGTTTCTCCCATTATTAATTTCTAGTTTTACGCCATTGTGGTCAGAAAAGATACCTGATACGATTTTGATATTTAAAAAGTTTTTGAGACTTATTTTGTAGCCTGACATATGATCTATTCTAGGAAAAGTGCCATGTACTGAGAAAAAGAATGCTTATTCTACAGCTGTTGGGTGGAATATTCTGTATTGTCTGTTATGTCTATTTTATCTTGCAATTTAAATCTAATGTTTCTTTATTGATTTTCTGTCTGATCCATCTGTTGCCAAAAATGGGGTGTTGAAATCTCCTACTCTTATCATATTTATTTCTTCCTTTAAGTCTAATAATATTTGTTTTACATATTGGAGTGCTCCAGTGTTAGAAATATATATATATATATATTTACAATTGTTATATTCTCTTGCTGAATTGATCTTTTTGTCATTATATGATGACATTATAAAATGACAATCTTGGTCTCTTTCTACAGTTTTTGATATACAGTCTATTTTATCTAATTTCTAGCTACTCCTGTTCTTTTTGGCTTCTGTTTGCATGGAATAGCATTTTCCATTTTTTCACTTTCAGTCTACGTATATCTTTACAGGTGAAGGAAGACTTGTAGGCAGCATATAGTTTGGTGTTATTCTTTCATACATTCAGCCACTCTATATCTTTTAACTGATGAATGTATTCCATTTACATTCAAGTTTATTATTGACAAATAAAGACTTACTCTTGCCACTCAGCTAATTGCCTCCTAGTAATTTTGTGGATCTTTTGTTCCTCTCTTTCTTGTTTACCTTTGTGGTTTGGTGGTTATCTGTAGTTATAAGCTTTGATTGTTTTCTTTTTCTCATTTGTATGACTGCTGTAATTTTTCCTTTGTAGTTCCTTGGGCCTACATTAAAATTTTATACTTATAAGGAGACTATTTTAAGCCGGTAACAGGTTAAATTTGGTTGTATACAAATATTCCAGACATTTACCCTTGCCTCCCACAATTTGTATTTTTGCCTAAACTTTCATCTTTTTACATAGTATATTTCTTAACAACTTATTGTAGCTATGATAATTATTGGCCATTTTGACTTTTAATCTTCATACTAGAGATCTGAAAGATTATATACCACCATTACAGTAATAAAATATTCTAATTTTTTTTTTTTTTTTTTGAGATGGAGTCTCGCACTGTCTCCGAGGCTAGAGTGCAGCGGTGCAGTCTTGGTTCACTACAACCTCCACCTCCCAGGTTCAAGGGATTCTCCTGCCTCAGCCTCCTGAGTAGCTGGGATTACAGGCACCCACGACCACGCCCAGGTAATTTTTTGTATTTTTAGTAGAGACAGGGTTTCACTATGTTGACCAGGCTGGTCTGAAACTCAAGACTCATGATCCACACGCCTCAGCCTTCCAAAGTGCTGGAATTACAGGCATGAGCCACTGCGTCCAGTCAGTATTCTGAATTTGATTATGTAAAACTCACCTTTACTAGTGAATTTTACTTTCATATGATTTAATGGTCATAATTAGTATTCTTTTGCTTCCAGTTGAAGCATTTTCTTAAGCATTTCTTGTAAGGCTGGTCTAGTGGTGATGAATTCTCTCAGCTTTTGCTTGTCTGGAAAAGACTTTATTTCTCTTCATTTCTGAAGGATAATCTTGCTGAGTATGGTATCTTGACTGACAGTTCTTTTTTATTTTTCAACACTTTGAATATATCATCCCATCCTCTCCTGGCTTGCAAGGTTGCTGCTGAAAAAACATTTTTGATAGTCTAATGGGGAGTCCCTTATCACATATAAGGGAATTATGTGACTGGACACTTTTCTCTTGCTGCTTTTAAAATTCTCTGTCTTTGACTTTTGATAGTTTAATTATAATGTGCCTTGAAGAGGATTTATTTGGATTAAATCTAATTGAGGCCCTTAGAGCTTCATGGGTCTGAGCACCTATATCTCTTCCAAAATTCGAGATGTTTTTAGCTATTATTTTGTTAAATAAACGTTCTCAACCTTATCTCTGTCTGAAATGTCCAGAACATGAATGTTTGTTCACTTACTAGTGTCCCATAGGTCTTGCAGGCTTTCTTTGCTCTTTTCCATTCTTTTTTCCTTTTTTTCCCCCTCTGGATTATTTCAAACTACTTATCTTTAAGTTCAGACATTCTTTCTTCTGCTTTATCTATCTGTTGAAGCTCTCACTTGTACTTATTTTATTCACTGAAGTCTTCAGCTTCAACATTTCTGTTTGTTTTGTTTTTAATCACTTCTATCTCTGTTAAATTTCTCATTCAGATAATTAATTGCTTCCCTAATTTCATTGAATAATGTATGTGTATTCACTTTTATAGCACTAAGTTTCCTTAAGATATTTTGAATTCCTTTTTAGGCAATTTGTAAATTTCCATGGGGGGGTCAGTTACTAAAGAGTTATGTATTTATTTGGTGGTATCATGTTTCCTTGCCTTTTTATGTTTCTTGTATTCCTACATTGACAACTGTGCATCCAATGGAATGATTGCTTCTTCTAATTTTACAGAGTCACTTTGTGTGGAATGATTTTCAACTACAGATGTGTCCTAGGGTGTTGGTTAGGTAGGGTACATTGGCTTTGGTTCCACATGGGCACAGTAGTGTAGTCTCTGTAGTTTTTATAGCTGTAGCCAATGTCAGCAATGCCAGTGACAGCCTAAGTGGCCTAATGTTCAGGAGTTTGTGTGGCTACTTGAGCACAGCCTCATCACTCAGGACAGGGGCACCAAGCTGTTCTGTGAGCTGAGGGTGCCCCAGGGCTGCTCCTTCACCAGGTTGGGCATGTTGTTCTCACTGGACAAGACCACCTGTTCCATGGGGGGGCAGTGTGCCTTGAGGGCTTAAACACCAAGGTTACAGCTGCTCCACTGGGCCTAGGCTCTGAGTAGCCAGGTTTGGGCACCTCAGCCACTGGGATGAAGACGGAGTGTCTTATAGGTGGTTTTTTCCAAGTGGGTAGGGAGCTGTAACTGCTTGGCTGGGGAATGGCACACTACCATTTGTGAGCGCAGTATAGTTGGCAGATCCTCAGGGGCAGGGAGATGTGGCGGCTACTTGCCTCCAGAGCAGGACATACTCTCGCAGTGTCTCCAGTCTCAAAACGGCACCATATAGCAGCAGCCTGGGCAGAGAAGCAAAATATGGGTTCCTTCTTTGGAGTAATGCAGCCATGTGAACTCCTGGAAACTCCCTATACTGGGCTCAGAGCTTGGAAGGACTGTAGGGTTCTCCAGCAGCAAATACTGTAGGTATTCATGACTTTAATTGGGGAGGAGGGAAGTGGGTACTGGAGGTTTCTTTCTTATTTTTCCCCACAGGGAGAGTTCCTTCTGGTTCTGAACTGATCCAGGTTGCAGAGACCAGGAGGCAAAGTTGGAGTGTTTCATTCCCTTTTCTGTGCATCCATTATGAGTCACTATGCTCTACAGGATCCCTACCAGTCATCTGTTTTACTCCAGCACTCTCCTTCAAATACCCTAGTTGAAATGTGCCTGGCTATTTGTTGATCCCTTTTTATTGGGAGAGGGGATAAGCATTAGGCATCTCTTGTCAGCCATCTTGCTGGCACCATGCTCGAGATATATTTTTTAAAATTCAAGATTGCTGTTCACTAAAAGAGATTCTACTGAAAGCCTCTAAGTTAATAGTTATTAACCAGATCAGCTCTTTTTAGAATGACAGAGGCCTCAGTATTACAACTATTTCCAGAGAATATACACAAAAATATAATTGTTAAAATAATAGAAGCCTTATCTCTAGGATTGCCACTGAAGTGATAACAGGCTAGAAGTATAAAGTTCCCATTTTTTCCAGGTTTGTGACAATCCCATGAATTTTGTGACCCTAGGTTGTATAAAAGGTTAGCAGTTGTTAATACTAGCCATCAATCTATCATTCAACCACATGTTCATCCTCACCCCCAATTTTCCTTACACAAACACACATTATTCTCTAACCTCTAAAGTCAGCATTACCATTATTTTCTGGCTTCTTAATAAGACTATGGAAAACTAAAATGAAATTCAGGGTATTAAAACACATATATTGACTATTTGGGAGGCTGAGGTGGGAGAATAGCTGGAACCCAGGAGGCAGAGGTTGCAGTGAGCCAAATTGCACCATTGCACTCCAGCCTGGGTGACAGAGTAAGACCCCGCCTCAAAAAAAAAAAAAAAAAAAAAAAATATATATATATATATATATATGTGTGTGTGTATGTGTGTATGTATATTTGTATTTGTATATGTGTGTGTGTATATATATATATATATATACCACCTTCTTTGCACTAAACTTTCCCTACTCAATGGTTTACAGATGATTAAACATTTGGTCTATGCTTCAAAGGCCTAAGAATTTGTCACTAAATATACAAATTCCCTGCACAAATAATAATTCAAGTTTGTGTGTGTACATATGCACATGAATGTCTGTACTTATGTTTTTACAGCTACATATATACATGCATATATATATATGTACCTGCATGTACATATATACATGCATATATATATATGTACCTGCATGTACATATATACATGCATATATATATATATACATATTTACCTGCATGTACATATATACACACTGTGTTAAACTCTGTACAGATTACATTTTGGTTTTCTTTGTATAACTGCCAAAAATGAAAAAATACTTTTTTAAACAGCAAGAAGGCAAGAAATAGTACAACAGCAAGAAGGCAAGAAATAGTACACTTAGAACAATAATTTATCAGGCTGAACAGAGGCTAGAATCTTAGTGTCCAGCCTCTTGATCTTATTATTTATCACACAGCACGACCAGAAAAATAGGGACAGAGGAGAGAGGGAATAAAAGGCCCTCCTGCGAGGACAGACAAAACCAGGCATTGATTGGATTGTATCTGATTGTTCACTGTCCAGTGCACCTGTGCTGTTTCCCACCCCTTTCACAATCTTCTTGATCCTGAGGGTTGAACAGGGCTCATCTTGCAAACAATATCCAAATTGAGATCAGAAGAAAGACAAAAGCTAAATTTATCCCGACACTTTCTTCATTCCAAGCTCCCACTTTCCTCTGACGCACAATTGTCATTTTCAAAGGAAAGAAAGCTATTTTCAATAATGAAAAATGGATTCCCCTTCCCACCAATATCAGTACAACTGCATCCCACAGAAGTATCACTTATGGAACCACAAGCAGGAAGGCAGATGTCATTGTGTCCTCTCATCTGTGCTTATTTTTCACAGAGCTTTCACAGCAAAGGCAGGAAATAGGAGTGGGGGAAGAAGACTCCAGCCTGATTGGGAAAGATTGTATAAAGTATCTCCCAAGAAAGTGCTTTATTTTCACTGAAAAAGAAAAATTATTTTTATTGGATTAACATTGATTCTAAAATTGGACCCAATTCCTACTGGGCAAGAACCAAAAAAAATCCTGGTTTGGTAAAAACATATTCTAGAATCATGCCAAAGTGCTGCCCTTCCTTTGACTTGAAGTGACTGTTCTGTAACATTACAGCCATTAAGTTACAATCTTGCATCTAACCAAAGCAAATTAACAAAATCTCCAGTAATCTATAAATGTATTTCTAAAACTCATATTAGGAAAAACACTGTATCTGGACACGATACTGCCTGACCCATATCCAGAAGACTTGAAACCAGATAAGTAAATAATTGATCATTTTTTTTTAGAAATATTTGCTAGGACATCTTAATATCAGCCTCATGTGAAGAAATAAGAAAGTTAAAATTTATAGCTAAGTCATCAAGTGTGTATAATAGGAATAATTTGACTCTTGGTGTCAACTATACTTGTGTGAATTGACATACTGATGCAACTTTCTGAAAGTTAGTTTGTTCACTAAAATATACTAATGTCTATGAGCGTATTTGGAAGAATAGCAAACAAAATAATAAATACGTTAAGTGCTAGGAATATTATAGGTATTAAATTATAGTTTTCACATTATTATGATTGCCATTATGATTCATTGTTAGTTTATAGACTGCTATTAGTAATCACAATATTACTAATAATATTAGCATTATATTATTGATTACATGTGATTATAAACATGATTACTAATATCACTATCATTATTGTTGTTACTAGCATTTTAAGAATTTAGCTTAACTCTGGAATGTTTTCAATACAGAATTCCTGCTACAATAGACCTGATTTTTTTAGAAAAATAAATTAAGAAATAAAAAACTAAATATGATGAATAAGAAAGAAGCTTTAAATTGCTATGCATTGAAGGCTAGATTATTCTAATAGACATAATAATTAAAGCACCAAAGCCTGTAATTTCTCACTGAAAAGACAGAATGAGAAGGAAATAGTCAATGATGCATAAAAAGAAAATTTCCACTCTTGGTTACCCCTTATTCAGTCTATTTCATGCAGCCATGCTTGAGAATGCAAAACGTGACCCAGAAGCTGGTGGTAAAATATATTTCTGCTCCTCTGAGAAGCAGTTAATTCAACAGGCTGTGAACAGCTCCCAACTCCTCAGCAAATAACTATACACTTCTGATTATGTTCTTGACATGGGCAAATGAGAGGACACACACCCAAGGACTGAGAATGATGACATGCCCAAAGGAAAAATAGGACCCTTGCTGCTGTCCCAGGGACTCATTCTGTACCAGCCCTCATTCCCATTTCATTAATCTCACAAAAACAGCATTTTACTAAATCTAATTTTTTTTTTTTTTAAAGACGGAGTCTTGCTCTTATTGACCAGGCTGGAGTGCAATGGTGTGATTTTGGCTCACTGCAACCTCCGCCTCCTGGGTTCAAGTGATTCTCCCGCCTCAGCCTCCCGAGTAGCTGGGATTACAGGTGCCCACCAACATGCCCAGCTAATTTTTACACTTTTAGTAGAGACAGGGTTTCACCATGTTATCCAGGCTGGTCTTGAACTCCTGACCTCAGGTGATCCACCTGCCTGGGCCTCCCAAAATACTGGGATTACAGGCGTGAATTTTTAGGCAAAACTTATAGTTTAATGAGGAGCTTTACCATATTATTACTTCCATTTTGCAGATAAGGAGTCTTAGACAAATGTAGCCTAAGGCTACATACCTAGAGTACTAAAGATTTGGAGCACGAGCCCAGGTATCCTATGCAGGTATGGAACTGCATAGTCTGAATTCTTAACCCTCACCACCTGCCTCTTTTGGGCATAGCAGTTTTAAGCAGATGTTGAATGTGAGTGGCAGAGCTACAAACAAGGGTCAGCCCACAAACAGCAGCATTCACAAATGCTTTACATAAACTGAGTGTAAAACGAACACATGATACAAAATGTGAATGGGAATTCCCATATTGTAGCATCATCTCCAAAGCTAAGGACCACAGAGCTATACTATAAATCACAAAGGTCGCCTGTAATCCCAGCACTTTGGCAGGCCGAGTTGGGCAGATTATGAGGTCAGGAGTTCGAGACCAGCCTGACCAACATGGTGAAACCCCGTCTCTACTAAAAATGCAAAAATTAGCTGGGCGTGCTGGCGTGCACCTGTAATACCAGCTACTCAGGAGGCTGAGGCAGGAGAATCGCTTGAACTCAGGAGATGGAGGTTGCAGTGAGCCGAGATCGTGCCACTGCATTCCATCCAGCCTGGGTGACAGAATGAGACTCCGTCTCAAAAAAAAAAAAAAAAAAAAAAAAAAAATCACAAAGGGCAAGTCAAATTACCAGGTTGTCATCTCGAATAGATAATGGGATCAACTTCAAGGTAAGAATTTCTCACTTTCAAAGTAAGAATTTGTGAAGCTAAGCACACACACACACACACACACACACACACACACACACACAATATAACCATGGTTAAACAAAATACCAAGTTATAAGTTTTTTGAGGCCAAAGATCCCAGTAAAATGTGCTTTAAGTCTCCATGACAGAGAGCTTAAAAGGTATTTTTAAGTGAATTAAAAAGCTGTAGCTGGCTTTGAAGAAAAAACATGGAAAAACAATATGATTTACACAACTTTTTATACCTTTATGATTCTGCAAGAAACTTCCCAAAATTTGTCCCAGTTTTCTTTAATATTGTTTTGTTTCTCATTAAAATAAAACTGGCAAGAATCTCTTGAGGATAGCTCTTTTGCAATTTAAATGATTCTTATTAAACAAACCTGGAGAAGAAAAGCTGTTTTATCTTAATATTTTTTAGAGATAACTGAATCATAGTATTTAATCAATGACCCATTTTGTCAAACAAATATTTAAAAGTGTCAAGTAACTCAATGGAATACAATATCAATTCATGACAACATTACTTAGGATTTTAGAATGATGTCACTGATTAAGGAATAGTTTCAAAGATCTTTCTTCTTCGTATAGAGAATGACGATGAAGAAGAAGAATTAATACAGTTTGGAGTTATAAATGACTCCCTTTTAAAAATGGGTTTCACAGAGCTCACGGGGCGAGGTGGCTCACACCTGTAATCCTAGCACTTTGAGAGGCTGAGGCAGGTGGATCACTTGAGGTCAGGAGTTCGAGAACAGCCTTGCCAACATGGTGAAACCCCGTCTCTACTAAAAATACAAAAATTAGCCAGGTATGGTGGCTGGTGCCTGTAGTCCCAGCTACTCAGGAGGCTGAGGCAGGAGAATCACTTGAACCCGGGAGGCAGAGATTGCAGTGAGCTAAGATAGTGCCACCGCACTCCAGCCTGGGTGACAGAGCAAGACTGTCTCAAAAAATAAAAAAAAAATAATAAAATGGATTTCTTTGACAAGAACTATGATACATATGAAGAGAGCCAGAGACTGGCATCAAAATTGGCTATTGTACATTACGTATCAGGAGGATGCTTCAAAAGGAAGGCATTTGCTGCCACAATATCCAGTTGCCAGTTGAAAAGGTTAATATCCTTTTAAGCAAACTATCCACCAGAGGAAGGAAAAAAAAAAAAGAACTTACTAATAAAATCAATCTGAGCTTCAAAATCAATTTAATACTGTATATTAGGAGGAAACTCTATTCGTTATTTTTAAATATTTAGCTGACAGATTGTTTATCTTCAATCACAGATCTGTATCTGCTGTTTAACTCATAGAACTAAAAATATTCACTTATTTGGCACATTCTCCTGGTGAAATTATTGGCAGAAATTTTAAATTAGGTAGAAATCTTATGTTGAGAATGCAAAAGTGGGTTGGGTGTTTTTTTTTTATTGTTGTTGTTGTTTGTTTCTTCATAATAGGAAGTTTATAAAGACACCAGCAAAGGGTAAAATATAAGTATTGAGAATAGAGGAAATCTAATAATTCTCAGCTTAATAAATCATTTCACAAACCTGTATGTGTATATATTTTTCACTTTAAGAAGCAGGTCTAAGCCAAGAACTTTTGTATTCTTTATACTTAAAAAAATAGCCCTTTAGCTACTTTGAAGTCATATGAATTAAGCAAATGAAAATTACAAAGAGGCATGATTTTTTTGGTGGTTTTCTTATCACCATAGCAAATTGAAGCCCACACATAAATGATCAGAGAGCTGGTTTTCAAGCTTACTGTCTTCAAGAGAAAGACAGATTCTAGCTGTCACTTCAAGAGTCATCTAGTTCACAGCTACCAGCAACAGGTAGCCAGCAACCCTGATGAGGGATAGAAACAGCACCCATAGAGGACCCCTTTCCTAGCAGAATTTTTTGACACCACTCAATCCTAGAGGAATGGCTTCACAGAGCCAAAGACAACTTTAGGGTGACTCAGCTGTCTGTAGGTTTTCTCTAGCAAACCTGGAAGATGTATTTTGCATTTTGTTGTTATCTAAAATAACCAACTCCTTATACTTTGATTGAGATATTGAGATGTCCCATCCTTCCCCCTGTATCCATGCTGGCACTGGTTAATGTAATCTTCATAGGACACAATCCTTAGATATATGTTAGGTTGATTGTTCCTGTAACTTCATGGCACTATTCCATTTACAAAGCACCCACCCATAAAAATGGCAGCTGTTACCCTCTCTCTTTGCCCCTCCTTGAGAGTCCCCTGTCCTTACCATGGGAACTATAAAAGCTTGGCTTTCTTAGAAAATATGTAGATTTAGAATTAGAAAAAGAGAAGACATTATAAAAAATAGAGATAATATTGGGGACTTGACCGAAGCATAGTTAGGCTGATTTCTTTACTGCAGAATTTCTTAGAGCCTTGATCAATTAATGTGCAAAGTTATTGCATGAGGGGGTATTAGAGAAGGAATTGTTTATAAGTCACTGCGCCTACTGGATAGTTCTCTGCTTATAAATTGTATCAGCCCATATACACGTGATATTGTCACATTGATGAAGATACACACCTCACTCCTGCCCTCCATTGCAGTTTTATTTAGGACACAAGCATCTTTTTAAAAGCCAGATACTTGGGGAGGGTAAGGAGATTGATTGGTCATATTTTATACCTTTATGTGGTTTACTTGGAGAAGTTCTCATTGTGTGAAATTACACTGGTATGCTGAACTACACCAGTCTTCTTTTAGAAGGAAAGGGGAGAAGATGGTTTTAGAGCACTGTGCAGTTGGATGGGTACATTTGTGGGTGGAGGAGCAGCAGGAGGGACTGGGGGCATGGGGAGGTAAGAACTGTGTGTGTGGCTTTGTTTTTCTTGGGTTGGATTAACTTGGGTTGGAGTTTGTGGGGGAAGTGATAGGAGAGTAAATATAAAACCTAACTCTGCTTATTTCATAAATAGGCATATTTTCCACAAATATATCCATCTTTTTCTCATACAACAAACATTCTGACTCTCAAAATTTTAGCTAATTGAATTATAGGATCCCCAAATTCAAAGTTTAGCTACATTTGGGTTAAATATACTAAAGATGGCAAATGAGACCCTAATTTTCATTTTTTTGAAATATTATATCTTTATTTATGGCATATAAACAAAAACAAAACCTTTTCCCAAAAGGCTACATAAACACCTTACTTCAAGTATTATAAAACATGTTATTATATCTTTTCCCTGATTTGACTTAGTTTCAATAAATATTTTGTTGGAAAACCATTTTTCCCCAACTATAATAATGATGCAAACTCATTATAGAAAACTGGGAAGCTATAAACATGTTTAAAGTTGAAACTGAAAATCACCTAGCATTTCTTTCTATGACAAAAGATCTTCTAAATTTCAAAACATGAACTTATAGGTAGGTGCACTTTTCCAATATAATCTATTGTAATATGTAGTCTACTTGTTTTTTTTCCACTCAGAGTCATTTTTCCCAAACTCAAGTAACAAATCCATCCTCCTAAGTGTGGGAATATAATTACTAGTCAGAGAGTTGTGCATCTGAAAAGTTTATATTAGCATTTTTCATTTGGAAAGCTCAAGCTATTGCCAAAGTTCAAAAGACATGAAGCTCCAGAAATATTTAGTATCTTGTCTATCAGATTACAATAATATCTTGAGACAATACTATATAATGATACTCTAGCTTAAGTAAAAACAAACTAAACTAAAAACTTCATTATAGGCAGTTATAATATTGATAATTGGAGCTGATTCTATTAAGGGGCAACCCTCCTCCCCAGTCAACACAAAATGCATGTTGCTTGTTAGAAGACTGTGTTGACTATATTTTCTTATTTTCTGTATTCCTGATGCTCTGGCATCTGGGGTCTCTCTAACTGGGCAGAGACTGCCCTCTCTCCCTAAGGACAGCCAATTCATAGAGATTAGCAAATGACTAACCTTGGAGCACAGCTTTCACTTGCAAATTCACCAATCCAAAGCCCACAACTCCCCCACACCTCTTCTATTTGGCTCTTAAACTCCAGGCCAATATTCCCCTATCCTAATCACTGCAAGGCCAGTTACCAAACAACTCAGGACAGCCTCCTACCCCAAAACCCACTGAAATTATTCAAACAAACTCATCATCATAAACCTGCTTACCCTGCCTCACCCATTCTTTCTTGCAGAAACCACAATAATGCCTCTTGCCCATGCTTTCCTCCCACTCCGTCTGCCTCCTGACTGCCCTGGTGCTTCCCCTTGAGGACCTGCATGGAGTTCTGTGCCCCATTCTCTTGAGAACTGTGAATAACAACTGTTTTTTCAATGACAATTGTCTCCTGATCTGTTAGTGTCAGCATACCTGAATAATAGCAAAACACAGTTTAAAACAAAGACTTTAAATTCATGCCAATTAGTGAACACATAAGGTTGTTTTCAATTCAAAATGCCTAGAAATAATAAGAGGGTGATGTACACATCTGTAGATGGAGGTCAAATTCACCCTTTTTTTCAAGTACCTCTTATTGCAATAAAATATTAGGATGTATGAAAATTTCAATCCTTTACCAGGATAGCTACACACTATGAGGTCTGAGCTGTAATGCCCTTATTGGTGAAATGAGGGATTTGAACTAGATAATCTCCCTAAGTCCTTCTAGATAGAGCATATAATCTCTTAGTGTTTCTGCTAATGTATTTTTATTAACAAAATCCCCTTTGTTAGATGACTCCACCCAATCTAAAGCACAGTGGGAATGTTATTTCTCTATTGCCAATGCACTTGAATTTCTCCATGGCAGTTACTGGGTTTTACTAATTCTTCTATTTCTTACCCCTATTATGGTCTAACAGCAGAAGCTCAACAACAAGAAACACAACGACTGACTGAATCAAATTACAGTGAGCTTCATATTGGGTAGAAATAGATAGACATGAGAATAAGATTATGAAAACTGTCATTTTCACTGAAGGCTTGAATAAGAAAACTCTACACCCAAATACTTAATCCAAGTCTTTTTTGCTAATGAATGATTGGATACTTGTAAAATGAAAGAATCAGTCAACTGTCACTAGAAATATTCTCAACAACTAAGATAAGTCAAATGAAAAGCTTTTTAGGGATTTTTATTTCTGGTTGCTTTAGGGTTTTTTGGGTTTTTCTCAACATGACTGTTATTGGTTTGCAGTATTATTTCAGAGACTGATTTGAAATTTTTTTATCCACTAAAAATCAACAATTGGCATTTTTAATTTTATAGAAAAATGAAAAAAGTATTAATCTGCAGCCATGCCAAAAAGGCAAACAAAAAGAGCAGCTTTTAATTAAATCTAAGGGATAGAAGTCTTAGTACATTTTTCATTTCTCTCTTCATTCCTCTCCCAGCCACTAGCTGAATGTTGCATTGTAACTGTTCCTCTCCTGATTTACATTTTTCTCTCTTCAGAAGGAAGAATATTAAAAGTCACAATAATATACATTTTAGAAGAAAATTTTAATTACTAATTCATAAGAAGTAATATTCATGTGCCAAGTATGTTACATGATCTAAATTAAAATACTAAGTTGAATTTGCTCTGGGGGATTTTAATACCAGGTAATATAGGTAAAAGGATATGTGGATGTTTTTGATGTCCTGTAAGATAAAATTCTGAGTTTCAACAGGTAAATACATTTCAGTAACTGAATAAGGGGCCCTCTGTAATCTTCATTTTGGGGAGGCCCTTATCCTTGAAATGATATCTAATAACTGAACTCAATCTCAGATTGTTCCTGATCCTGGCCACCAACCAGCTTTAGGGTACTTTGAACCTTTCTTTCTTGGAGAAACTCTTCCCCTGATTTGTCATTAGGATTTTAGGTGCACAAGTTAAAAGGAGACTAGAAAAATAAAATGGTTAAGTAAATTGGTTAAAACTGAGTCTGAATTATGCTGTGGTTTTGTTTGTGTAATTGCTTTGCTATCTGAGTCTTCTAATCACTAGACTCCATTTAACAATTTTAATAAGGATGGCATTTATTAAAATAAGAAGAGATCAATGGCCAGCCCAGCTTTAGAAACACACCATGAAAATTAGAAATTCTCAGATGAGTATTCCTAAGATGCACAACTCAAGCAACTTGAACAGAATCAAAACTCACAGAGAATCTTTAAGAATACCATAACCGTTTCTATATAAGCAAAGTGGATGATTAATAATTTTATTCAAATGAGTTACGGTTAAATAACTGAAAAATACATACAATAAAAAGAAATGAGAGATCGTGTGGCGAGAACATCTCTTTAAAATGGAAGGAAGCAATCTCCCTAATTGTAATCATGTCATCAACGTGATCATTTTCAATTACCAGGTAATACAAACGCACTACTTTTTACTCTTCCCTGATCCACCTAATGCCTTACACAGAATAAATTCTCAATAAATATTTTAAAACTGATATGTCTACTCTTCCAATTCAAGATAAGAAAATCTGTGTATATAATATACTAACAGGCTAAACTAAAAGAAAATCATATAATCTTTTTAATACAGGGTAAAAGATAAAAATATACATTCTTTATTTTGTTTATATATAAAATTGGAGATGGAATGACTGCCATATAATTTAAAATATCTATTTTGAAGTAAAAATTATCATCATAGTCAATGAAAAATTTCTAGAACTATTTTTTAATAGATATTATAGATCTGGCATAATAAAACAAAACTGATACTGCATAAATACAAATGAGACCAATTTTTAGTAATCAGCATGTTTCTGGTTCACCCCACCCTGTAATGCTTTAGCTCATCCCCTATCAAAAGTTTCCATATTCATCCCATCTATGAGTGTGGGATGTAAGCTTTGGCTTCCATGACTACCAACGTCTCCCTGATCATTGGTTACATCCACTGAGGAGCATCTTCCCCCTACTGCTGGATCCCCTGCATCTGCCCTTGGAAGTCTCTCTCAGTAGGCATGGATATCACCTCAGGGTCTCCTCACTCAGTGCTAGGGGCACAGTTGCCCATGGCAGCTCATGATAATGTTAGACCTATCACCACTCACCAGTGCTGGTATCACCATGTCCAAAGCAAGCATGGCTACTGCCTTGGGTCACAGAGCACCAGCACCCCACTGCACAGAAGTTGCAAGAACTTCTCCTTGCAACCTTTTCAATACACCATTACTTGATTTACACTACCCTGACCTGTATAGATCATAGAAGTTTCTGTAAGAAAACAATTTTTAATAGTGATCAATTTTTTGTAGTACTAATGTGAGATGCAAATTTAAAAAATGAGATGTTCGTTTCCTAACAAAATAATAAGAAAATTGTAAATCGATGAATTTCTTTTGGAGCTTAGATATCTTTCAAGACTCACAGCATTCATACTTTTAAACTAGTAATTTCACCTCTGGGAAGTTCCTAAAAAAATAATGCAATATGTAGAAAAGCTTGTGTAATGGAAATGTTTATCCCAGCATTATTGATAATCGTGAAAACAAAAACAATTAAATACTTAAAAGTAGGAGAATGAGGCCTTGTGCAGAGGCTGACACCTATAACCCCAGCACTTTGGAAGGCCCAGGGAGAGAGATCACTTGAGCCTGGGAGTTCAAGGCCAGCCTGGGCAACATAGTGGGACCCCGTCTTTAAAAAACAACAACAAAAAAAAATTAGTTGGGTGTGGTGGTGCGTGCCTGTAGTCCCACTTACTTGGGAGGCTGAGGTGAGAGGATCGCTTGAGCCTGGGAAGTCAAGGCTACAGTGAGCTGTGATTGCACCACTGCACTACAGCCTTGACAACAGAGTATGATCCTGTCTCAAAAATAAATAAATAAACAAGAGAATAAGTACATTAATTCTGAGTGAATGATTGCAGCAACATGGCATATAAGCAACTGAAGAAATAAATAATAGCAAATTTCTATTAATGTCCACATAAAAAATGAAAAGTTTAAAAAGGAATATATAAAAATTGTATTTGTTATTGTGACAGGGTTGTAGAAATCATTTTTTCTCTAGTTTCATCTTAGAGGAATTGCTGTTTTACTTTCTAAATTGTGACTTCAAAATACGGTGAAGGATAAATAATGATGACTTATGATTTTTTAATTAGAGAAATTACATAGCTCCCACACTGAGAGTTAGCCTTAGTACCCTGAAGCTAGTATACTATCAAATGGCAAATTGCCAACTGCTATATTAATGAAAAGTTCAAATTGCTCCTAACCTAGCATCATGGAAGTCCAGCTGAGTGTCTTTCAAGCCCCCTGATGAATTTCCTGGCATTTTTACCAACTGCATTTCATTCAATAAGACCAGCCAGGGCTCTTGGTCAATAAGGAGACACACAGATCCTCCTCCATGGCCTTTGTCTAATGTCTCTGCATCTCAGCCAGAAGAGAATAGCCCCTGTAATTGTGAATCACCTTCTAAGCTTCTGATGAAAAGTCAGCTTGAAATACTACTGTTGTCAACCATATCACAGAGGTGCTGGAGATATTTAAATCACACTACACCAAAGCAATGAAAGAGCATGGAAGAGAGGAGCTATAATGTAATGTTTCAGATGACATCAGGATCATGTGACAAGGTGATATGTGGCTTTGGCTTCAGAGTGGCTTTAGCAGAACCCCAGGAATTGAAAACTGAGAGATGGGGCAAGGTTATGCACAAAGAAACATCAGCCATCGTGACTGTGGAGATCAATGTGAAAAGCAGTGTCAAGGCCACAGGTCACATTCCTTGAGTACTGTGCTTCATTCAAACATATACAGACCCCAGAGGGTCTTTATGGATGAAGAATTGTCCCCAAGAGTTGACACCTTGTGGCACAGTGAAAATCAGCGCGGTTATAGACTTCTAAGTCTTATCCCCTCCTTCAAGGTCCAGTTATTATTTCAGCTTTGTGATTTGAAAAGATGGAGTCACTTGGTCTGTCTGGGATTCCATTTCCATCTTCAACAGAGACCTAGGACTAGAACATTTCTAAGATTATGTCCAATTCCAAAATTCTCTGAATCTGATTTAAAAATTTCACAAATATTCCAGGCCATACTATTGCTGTCTTCTCTTGAGCTTTCAAAGCACTTACACTACCAGCAACTGGCAACTTGCCATGAAGCTGCCTTTACCACCATTTGAATGTTTTTACTGGGTTATTTGTTACAAATTGATCAGAAGCTAGCCCTCAGCGTCAGGTTTTCTGTCTGTCCCAAGGATGTAATATTACACATTAAATACACTCACTTGAGGGAAGAATAAATGGGTTATTACAGCTTATTGCTTCCAGATGCACTCAATTCCGAAAGATGAAAAAAAAAAAGAGGAAAAAAAATCACATCTGAAAAGCTGAGTCTTTCTTTGTCTGACTTGGAAATGGTACTGGGACTCCAAGGAAGCAGATTCTGAGACAGAGATTACTGTGAATAAAGTATATTAGGGCATGTTCTTGGAATTAATACCATTGAGTTCAAGGAAGGAAGTGGGATGGGGCAGAGGGAGAAAGAAGATGGGCTGTTGTGTGGCCACAACAGAGGACTCAGCCCATGCCACGGGGAAGACCTAGAACTGGGATGACCCCTTAGAATTGTTCCAAGTTGGGCAAGGAGCATTTCTACCCCCCTTCCTCCCTACCTCCCCACATAGCTCAGCCACTGGATGCAGGCTGCCCACACAAAGTGAATTGTGACCTTGGGCGAGGCTTTCCAAAGAGCAATTCCCAGAGAGGGCTGACAGCTGAAGGATTTCAGTCAGCAGAATTCCCAGCCACTGGGAGAAAAAGAGATTTAGTGCTGCGTGGGCAGGACAGATTCTGGCAGGCCAGTCTAGCATCTACTCTTCAAACAGCCCATTTTAAGCCACACTAATTGTTTATTTGTACGGAACTTAACTGTTTACTAATGCTTTTATACAACCTACCCCTCAATTCAGACAACAACCCTGCGAAATGTGAATATTGTTGCCTCTAATTAATAGATGACAGATGAGTGTTGCCAGTTGTAAGGTGTCCCAGGGAAACTCTCAAAGGTAGTGGAAAGACTTTGAAAGTCCACGGATATAGAAGTTTTGGATTCTCACAATTATGGGGTAGGTGAACCCATAAGATAAGCTATTGATGATTACTATCATTGTGATTATTTTTACCCTGAACCTGCTGTGACCTGAAAAAACTAAACCACATTAATATTGTGTTTATTTTTCTAATGTCCACTTCATTTAAGACTATGATTGTCTAATGCCTTGACACTTTTACATATGAATAGCTATGAAGTCCTGTGCTTGTGCAAATCATTTTTTTCTATAACAGCAGAACTTTTATGCTTATCTGTTGTTATGGATTGAATGTTTGTATTCCCCCAATATTAATATGTTGAAGTCCTAATACCCAGCTTGATGGTATTTAAAGGTGTGACCATTTGGAGATAATTAAGTTTGAATAAGGTCATGAGGGTGAGGCCCCCATGATGAAATTAGTGCCCTTGTAAGAAGAAAAAAATATACCAGACTGCTCCCTCTGCCTTGTGAAAATGTAGCAAGGAGGTGGCCATTTGCTAGCTTGTTGATCTCGGACTTCCCAGTCTCTAGAACTGTGAGGAATAAGTGTCTATTGCTTACTCCACCCATAATATGGTATTTTGTTATAGCAGCCTGAGAAGACTAATACATCCCTTAAAAAAATCATCTCTTGGTTGGATCTATCATTCTCATCTGATGTGGTTATTTTATTCTTGATTCTGATATCTAGATGACTCTCCACTGTTCTAGCTTCACTGTAAGCACACCTTTGTCAGCACACCTTCAATGTTTTCATCAGAGTTTTTAATAAAAGGATAGCAGACTATGAAGATTCTCCTTTAGTTTCACATCAACACAGGGTCATATCTGTTTAATGAATGAATATTACCTTTTAACATATGACATTGGTGTCTGCATCTTGTTGTCTAAAATAGAAGTTTCCAAATTGTTTTTACTATAAAACTTTATTAAAATAAAATCTGTTTCAAAATAGTGAAATAAAAATAAATGGAAGCAGAGTTGCTCTGGTTCAAGGTAGATGGTGTGGTGAGGGGCCTTACTTCTTTGTCTTCCCTGTAGCAAAGAGAAGGCAATGAAGGAAGGCAAGGCTTTTGAGAGACCCCTGAGGTATCTACATGGACATCCAAAGCTTTTCACATTGCACCAAGAATACCCCTGCACAAAAATCTTACAAGGCACTTTGTCAAATACACTGCTGAAATCAAGGCATGGACTTTCCCCTGACTTAGCTGTAAAATACACACACACACACACACACACACACACACACACACACACACACACACAGTGAGTTTCTCTTGATTTGTCCTTGGTAAGCCCATGCTGATCCAAAGTAATAATTGCTTTCTTTTATAAATGCTCACAGGACATTTTTTTCCAGATTATATTAAGGGAGAGTGTCAGACTTGTTGTTCTATAGCTTCCAGGGTCTACATTTCTGCATTTAAAAAAAAATAACATCTCCAGTCTCTGACATCGCTTCTGTTCTCCACCTGTAACACCTGTGAGTTCTTTGTGAATTCTGGTGTATAATTAATTTATCCAGGGCAATGGTTCTCAAAAATGACTGCATATTAGAATCCCCCTGGGAGATTTTAAAAAATGCCCCTGCCTGGGTCCTCACCTTTAGACCAATTAAATCAGAATCTCTGCAAGTATTTTTAAAAGCTTCTCTTGTGATTCTAATATGCAGCCAGGGTTGAGAACCAGTGATCTAAACCTGGCTTAAATTAATTTTAAATACTTACATGTTCTTTTACCATTCATTCCCTTTCCATAAGCCTCAATCTCTCTGTTCTTCATTTTCTCATTGAAGATCCTTCTTTATAATTCAGAAGTTAAAAGTAAAACCTAAGTTAGCAGTTTTACTTCATTTTTGTCTGAGGAACAAACCCAGCCCAACCCTAAGTTATAGCCTATGCTTTCCAAATACTTTGGCTGCAAATATAGTTTAAAACCCTCTTTAAGTTCTTTGCATCTTTTCTCAAATCTGTTAAATAAAACAATTTCGACAGACTTTTAAAAATCGTGTGATTTTTATTTATCTTTTAACCTCACCCACTTGCTTTTTGTCATGTTTCCACTTCTGGTTTTATAGATTCCATACCTAGCAAGAAAATTTCCTTGCTATATTCCAGCCATTATCGAAGCAGATTCCAATAACAACTATTGCATTATCTTTTCTTCCTTGCATTACAAATCTAAGTTCACTTTGTGTTTGTTCTCTAGTATAGTCTTATCAATATCGTACTCCACAAATATTATTTCTAATTCTGTTTACTGCATTTTCTATTTAAGAATGGCTGGGTACCACTTGTACTATCTATATGATAGTTTGCAATTTATAAAATCCATTCATGTGTATAATTCCGTTTGTGTTTTGTTTTTGCAGTTCCATCTGGACAATATTCTACTTTTTCCTAGAACTTCATTGGTAATCCTTTTTATTCAATTATACACATTATCATGAGAAATGCTCTACTTTCTCAGGAGCCTATTCATCTGCAAATTTAAGCTATACTCCAAAAAACACTATCCTTTTTTCAACATCATCTAGATAGCCAGCTATTCCCATAACAAGTCTGCTCTTCTCTTTAAAACCATGACCCCCCAAATAGAACAAATGACCAAAAATCTTTTCATGTCCAACAATGTAAAAGATCACAAAGTCCTTAAAAATTTATCCCCCCACCCCATGCTAATTGTGGCTTTCTTATTTACTTCCCTGTGAAAGATCAGAAGTAAGATGTGGTTTCTTCCCAAAGTACATATTCTAGGAAAACAATGCACTTCCTACTGAGCCCTGCTAAGCACCCACAGTATGAAATTAGGTGCCAACCAACACAATGGGGTTCCAGCACTAGTGAGGAGATTTCTTACCTTGGGAGTAACTGTCTGCCATCCTGACTATAGTTAGTTTTTGTTTACTGCTTTTTGTATTCCGAAGGTCTGACTTTCTTCCCAGGAAGATACTCTAACTTGATGCATAAAATGGTGTCCACATTTTCTTTTCCTTTGTCACATTTCTATTTGTAAACTTTGAAACTCCAATTTTGAGCCACATTTACATCCCCAAAATTCTTTTCATACTGATTTTTTTTTTCCTTCTTGTCTTCATACCATTCTTTTGCTCAAAAAGCCAAAAATCACAGAAAAAAATTCTTGGTGTACACAGCCCTTGGGGCTCCAGAAGAACTTCTGCAGTTTCTCTAGCAAACTGCACTTCATTCCCCTTCATGTCATATACACGTTGTCTTAGTCTGTTTTCAGATGCTATAACACAATACCACACACTGGGTAATTTTTAAAATAAGTTTATTTGGCTCACTGTTCTGGAGACTGGGAAGTCCAAGGGCATGGCACTGGCATCTGCTTGACCATCTGGTGAGAGCCATCCCATGGCAGAAAACAGAAAGAAGCAAACTTGAGACAAAAATGGGGCTGAATTTATCCTTCTATCAAGAGCCTACTCCCAAGATAACTAATCCATTCCTGTGGTAACAGCATTAATCCATTCATTAGGGTAGAGCCCTCATGGCCTAATTGCCTCTTAAAGGTCCCACCTTTCATCACTGCTGCATTGAGCATTAAGTTTTCAAAACATGAACATCTGGGAGACACATTCAAACCATAGCACGCTGACTGCCTGCTGCCTTTTATCTTCTATTTGTGTTGGGCCTTTTGGGGAAATTTACCGACTATACGTGTTCACATTCTTTGTCTTTATTTTTAAGAGCTGCTGTTCTGAAAGTTAGCAATTGGTGCCTGTAGTATGGTGACAGGGAAACAGCCCAAAGTTTGGGAAGCCAAGGGTTCCAGTCTCATCAGTTCCATTAAACTGGATTATCTTGAAAAAAAACACTCCATTATCTCTGAGTCTTAGTCTCTGACTCTATAAAGTGGGTGGAGAGGAAATTGAACTAGGCTGGATTTTCAACTTTATTTATTTATTTTTTTAATCTGTAGGACCCTTCACATTAAATCTTATTGAAAACCTCAAAATATAAAGGAGAAAGTCAGAGGAACTAAAGTTGAACTAGGGGTGAGCTTCACCTGTTAAGTGCTGACCACCTTCCCATCCCACTTACTTCATTCCTCCTTATGGCTGCTCAGTGCCATCAGAGCACCTCCTAGGCTGCATAGAGAACCATGTGAAAACAAATCAGAGATTTTCAAAATTTAGTGTGTGCAGGAATCATCTCAAAACTTGCTAAAAGAGCGAATTAGGCCAGGCACAGTGGTTCACACCCGTGATTCCAGTACTTTGGGAGGCTGAGGCGGTGGATCACCTGAGGTCAGGAGTTTGAGACCAACCTGGCCAACATAGTGAAACCTCATCTCTACCAAAAATACAAAATTAGCTGAGTATGGTGGCACACACCTGTAATCCCAGCTACTTGGGAAGCTGAGGCAGGAGAATCGCTTAAACCTGAGAGGCAGAGATTACAGTGAGCTGAGATCGCGCCACTGCACTTTAGCCTGGGCGACAGAGAGAGATTCCGTCTCAAAAATAAATAAACAAGCAATTTAATATGCAGTCTCCCTCAAAAAAATAAAAAGCCTAGGAGTTTGCCATTTATCATTTTTAGATTAGGATTAGGGATACAGAATGGTACAATCATAACATCCTGAAAAATATTAAACCGAGTGAATTCTGAAGTCTCTTCAACTCCCTTTGGAAACAAATCAGTAAGAAGTCAAGAAAATCCATCACATATTCTGATTTGATAGCTTTTCACCTGTCCCGTTGTGATCCTGGACAAGTTACTTTTTCTTGTCTCATCCATAAAATGAGGATATTCATTATAATGACCACCTCAAAGGACTATCACCAGGACTGAGTAATCCAGTTTATGTCAAATGCTTAGAACAATGCCTACAACATGTGTAAAATTCAACAAATATTAGTTATCATTCATTAAGCAAAGTAGAATACAAACTATACAAACAATCTAAAATCCAGTATATCAGTGTATTCCATACACCACTTAGCCACTTCCTTTCCTGCTACATGTTCTATGACTTGCCTCTGTACCACTGGGCTCCAGGTTGCCAATTTCTTTTTGAGCCTTAGTTTTCCCATCTATAAAATGGGATTAATACTATTGATTTACTCTAGCTAAGAGGACTGTCAATACAGAAACAAAATGTTTAAATGTTGCTTGCAGATCTTTAGAAAAAAGATGCTTTGGTATACACCAAGAATTATTTTGGTATTTAGCATGTTAATATAATTTTCTTCAGCATCTTAGACTGTCTTATTTACGTACACAATTAGTGGAATGGAATGTGGAAAATGGTAGGCAGTGGTAAAACACAGGCCATTTTCCTGAGTGAAAAAAGGCCCATAACTCACAGGAGATGGATTGAGATGTGAAGGTCACTCACTTATTCACAGGAATAAATTATATTATACCATCAAGTAAGTTTCTTCAGCCAGTCGTAAAGAAGAATACGGCTAAGTAATTTACTCGCAAATGATGGTTGTAAGCCACTCACATTCTAACAAATCAAATTACATCATACAGACCACCTAGTCATGCTCACAGGGTTTCCAAATTGGGAGTGGGGAGCAGAGACACAGCCACTTTTGTTGGCTTCTCAATTCATACAAAGACCACTCCTGTTCATGACTGAAGATCAACACAGGATATTTAAATTGCTCTTCAAAGAGAAACCACTCCACTTTGATTCCCTTCTTGAATATCAAGTATCATACCTCTAAAGCTGCGTGCACAGATGAGGTATCTGCAAGGTCTGTGCAGAGCCCTTGTGTATTGGCATTGAGACTGAAGCCTTGAATAGTATAGTCTATCTTTGCTGAACTAACTGGGATGAAGAAATAGATTTTGGCCGATGTAAGCATTTTTAGTTTGAGGAGCTGAGAGGAGGCAGCTCCTAACAGGGCACACAACAACAAAAATAGATAATGGCCTTAGTCTGTTAGTGTGGCTATAACAAAACACTGAGATTGAGTAATTTATAAAGAACACAAGTTCATTTCTCACAGTTCTGGAAGCTATGAAATTCAAGATCAAGTTGCCAGCACTTGGTCTGTTGAGGGCCTTCTTGATAAGACCTTATATGGCAGAAAGCAGAAGAGCAAGCTAGCCAAATGCTTTGTGAAGGCTCTCTAATAAGGGATTTAATCCCATTAATGAAGAAGGTGTCCTCATGGCCTAATCACCTCTTTCAGGCCCCACTTCTTAATACCTTTTTTTAAATCTGAGTGTAATTAAATTCTCCTGTTAACACTATCAAAATGGCAACACTTGAATTTTGGAGGGGACACATTCAAACTACTGAGGTAGGAAGTATCGTATCTATTTTACAGATGAAAGAACTGAAGCTCCGAGAGGTTAATTCATTTGTCTGAATTTACACAGCTCAGTAAATGGCACTGAAAAATGTAATCCAGGTTTGCCTGTCTCCAAGGCCTATGCTCTTTCTAACAGGCTACTATGCCTCTCCAGGTAATCTGTGATCTGTGATGACAAATACCTTTCTTCTAGGGTGCCAACTCCAATTGGTAGATCTCGTCTCAGCAGAAAGAGAGCCATGATGGGTTAGAAATGAGAGGTGACAGCGTGCTGGCAGTCCTCACAGCCCTCGCTCGCTCTCGGCGCCTCCTCTGCCTGGGCTCCCACTTTGGCGGCACTTGAGGAGCCCTTCAGCCCACCGCTGCACTGTGGAAGCCCCTTTCTGGGCTGGCCAAGGCCAGAGCCGGCTCCCTCAGCTTGCAGGGAGGTGTGGAGGGAGAAGCGCGAGCGCGGGAACCGCGGCTGCGCGCGGCGCTTGCGGGCCAGCTGGAGTTCCGGGTGGGCGTGGGCTTGGCGGGCCCCGCACTCGGAACAGCCAGCCGGCCCTGCCAGCCCCGGGCAATGAGGGGCTTAGCACCCGGGCCAGCGGCTGCGGAGGGTGTACTGGGTGCCCCAGCAGTGCCAGCCCACCGGCGCAGCTCTCGATTTCTCACCAAGAAATCTTAGGTGATTTCTCGGTGTCTTAGCTGCCTTCCCGCGGGGCAGGACTTGGGACCTGCAGCCCGCCATGCCTGAGCCTCCCACCCCCTCCATGGGCTCCTGTGCCGCCCGAGCCTCCCCGATGAGCACTGCCCCGTGCTCCACGGCGCCCAGTCCCATCGACCACCCAAGGGCTGAGGAGTGCAGGCGCAGGGCGCGGGACTGGCAGGCAGCTCCACCTGCAGCCCCAGTGCGGGATCCACTGGGTGAAGCCAACTGGGCTCCTGAGTCTGGTGGGGACCTGGAGAACCTTTATGTCTAGCTCAGGGATTGTAAATACACAAATCGGCACTCTGTATCTAGCTCAAGGTTTGTAAACATACCAATCAGCACCCTGTGTCTAGCTCAGGGTTTGCGAATGCACCAATCCACACTCGGTATCTAGCTACTCTGGTGGGGCCTTGGAGAACCTTTGTGTGACACTCTGTATCTAGCTAATCTAGTGGGGAGGTGGAGAACCTTTGTGTCTAGCTCAGGGATTGTAAATGCACCAATCAGCACCCTATCAAAACAGGCCACTCGGCTCTACCAATCAGCAGGATGTCGGGGGGTGGGGGCAGATAAGAGAATAAAAGCAGGCTGCCGGAGCCAGCAGTGGCAACCCCCTTGGGTCCCCTTCCACACTGTGGAAGCTTTGTTCTTTTGCTCTTTGCAATAAATCTTGCTACTGCTCACTCTTTGGGTCCACACTGCCTTTACGAGCTGTAACACTCACCGTGAAGGTCTGCAGCTTCACTCCTGAAGCCAGCGAGACCACGAGCCCACCGGGAGGAACGAACAACTCCAGAAGTGCCGCCTTAAGAGCTTAACACTCACCGCGAAGGCCTGCAGCTTCACTCCTGAGCCAGCGAGACCACAAACCCACCAGAAGGAAGAAACTCCGAACACATCTGAACATCAGAAGGAACAAACTCCGGACACACCGCCTTTAAGAACTGTAACACTCACCGCTAGGGTCCGCGGCTTCATTCTTGAAGTCAGTGAGACCAAGAACCCACCAATTCCGGACACAGAAATACCTACCAACCAGGAGGCGGAGCTTGCAGTGAGACGAGATCGTACCACTGCACTCCAGCCTGGGTGACAGAGCAAGACTCCGTCTCAAAAAAAAAAAAAAAAAAAGAAAAGAAAAGAAGAAAAAAAGAAATACCTACCAAGAGTGAGAGTTTGGAGAATGGGGGCCATGCTAATTGGCTTGCCACCCCTGATTTAGCCTGACCTTCTAATGTAACAGATAAGGAACCTGAGAACCTGAGGATGAATTGAGTGGCCCAGAGTCCTGTGATATCAAGCAGCATAGTAACAGTTAGAATCCACGTCCACTGCCTGAGCACAGACCTTCTCTCTCTATCCCAGGATGCTAGTAATAAGAAATAATGTAATCATTTGCACACCTCTGACCTTACCAATATGCCTGGCACTTACTTACACCAGTTGTCCAAGACATTTAGTATATTGTCTTTCACCAAAGACAATAAGACAACTTTATATCACTCTTTTTGTTCTGTTTTATCTTAACTGTAGATATATATGTTTTACTGTTAAGAATTCTAACAATACAGAGGTATAGATGGTAATTAAATTGTCACCTTCATTAACTCCCATTCCTTTCTTTTCCCCAATATAACCACTTTTAACAGTTTCAAGTCTCCTTTAAGAACTTTTCTATGTATATCATAGATGTCCATGTGCAAATACAGAGCTTTAGGGCTTAAATTAAATGTGGTCATACCATAGAAACTGCATTGCAACTTGCATTTTTTAACTTCGCAATTGTATCACCTTTCTACTTTATTACGTAGTGCCTCTTGGAGCTCTTAAAACACCTGTTGAGGGAACATAATTTGCAAAAATCTAAACGTGTGCCCTCTAAAGTTGTCTTTACTTGAAGAGAATACACCTGGCAATTTATCCACATGTATGAGAACATTAAGACTATCTATGAGGAAAAACATTTTTTAAAGCATCATTTCTTACTTTAGAATTAAGCCAAAATCCTGAGAGTAACTTTTGACATGACCATCCTCACATATCTTTCTCCACTCATCATCAATTTCCTTCCATTTCATCTGTCAGATAGCTCTTAAACCTTTCCATTCTCCCTGTTCTCCACTGCCACACCCTAGACTAAACTATCGTCACCCCTTATCTAGACTACAGCAGTTCCTTCCAACAGCCTTCTTGTTTCTTCTGTGGCTGCTTCTAGTTCACTTTTCATTCTGCCACTAGTATAATCCAATTTACATAACCAACTTATTGTATTGTTTCTTTCTTTTGAAGTATTTAACAATTTGCAGTTTACAATCTGGTCTTGCCCCATATTTCCAAACTGAATGTTTTAATTTCTAGAGAAATCAAGACTCAGAAAAAGTACATTATAGTGTTGCAAGCTGTAGATTCTTCTCTTTTCAGGAGTATTTCTGGGAGTTGCATTTTATGGGAAACACTAACTCAGGCAACTGACTGTAACATTCGTTATGAGACAACTTTTTTTCCCTTAAATTGGAAGAGTGTTGTTAATCCTCAAGGATTACCTATTTATCTTAAAACATTTTGCCTAGCCATATGAATTTTAATTCTTCTTCTGATGTGTTATAATTACATTGCCCAAGATAGCTAAGAGGGTAGTATATGTATATATACCAATTATTATTTACACAAGTCATTTATTGTTGATTTTCTTCTCTATAAACATTATATTCTTTCATTTAGTCCCAGAAATTGACATAAGATGTTGAGCAGCAGGTTGTTATTGACTTTTTATTTCCAACCCAGAGATTTTGAAAGTAACATTTTGTTGTTTACAACCTGGTTCCAGTAACACCCCACTCTCAGACTTCACAGTGCTGCCCATTTGCCCCCGAAAACTGGTATTGTAGTGATTGATAAATTGAGCTAGGCTGTCACTCTAAAACTAAAAGCGGCAACAGGAAACTAGCAACTAGCAACCCGTAACTAGCGAGAACAAGTGTGACAAAGCTGCATTTAGAGAGAAAGCAGTTTATTACATCCAGCTGAAATGACTAAAAGTAGAAAATGAATCCATATTCCGCCAACCCATTGATGAATTATGCTCTCGCATCCTTCAATACAGGTTCAGATCAGCTTGGACTCCCTTGAAAGTTTCATGATAGGGATTTTCTTTTGTTTTATCATGAAATTACTGCAATATATTATTACTAGAGCCAGATTTTTTAAATATTAGAAGAAATGACTTAACTACCAAGCAGAAACTATCCTTTAGAACAGAGGTTTTCCAATGTTTTGCTCTAATGTCACCAAATGAATGTTAATTATGCACACCTTAGCACATGTATAACATATATTTTATATAATTAATTTCAAAAGATGCCAATTTCTGGAATGTTATAAATATGCACATGTATACGTATGTAACAAACCTGCACGTTGTGCACATGTACCCTAGAACTTAAAGTATAATAAAAAATAAATAAATAAAATTAAATGTTACACCATTCTGTTAAATGTCTTTAATGAGATAAAAATACTATAACAAGTTGAGACTCATTATTCATTAAAAAACAAAGTTAGAAATTTTTGTCCTTGAAATTGTATTTTCATTCCACTTCCCCTATAGAATGTTACCCTAAAGTAATATACGTTTATGCTTGAAAATCTTTATTGATCACCCTATCATAATTCTTTGCAGCAATATATACGTAAATTTAGTTTAAAATTTTCCTGTGACCATAATGCTCAGGTTAAAATAATAAAAATGTTATTACAATGCACACAATGCATTGTTAAAATATGTCGTTTGGTTTTAGTTGTCATTACTTTTATTAGTAGTAAACAATTGATCAAAACCTCAAAAATAGATTATATTGATAAAAAGTAATCCTAAGAAATAGAATTTAACTGTAAATTTATCTCTGAATAAACAATTGCTTGTGATTCCTTGATTAAAGGAACGGTCCATCTGCCTCTTGTTTGGTATCAGAAAGGGGAGTGGGTTGTACTTATGGCAGCTCACCATTGTACAATTTCAGCTCCGGGGTAAGTATGAGAGGGAAACGAGGGAGATGGGCAAAGGCAAACCAGGCAATTGGTAACTTCTCAGGAAGTTTAGGGAGAACATATTGAATATTAAGAACCGAAAATGGGCGGACGTGGTGGTGGCTCATGCCTGTAATCTCAGCACTTTGGGACGCCGAGGCAGGCATATCACTTGAGGTCAGGAGTTCAAGACCAGCCTGGCCAACATGTTGAAACCCTGTCTCTACAAAAAATACAAAAATTAGCCCGACGAGGTGGCATACACCTATGGTCCCAGCTACTTGGGTGGCTGAGGCCCAAGAATCGCTTGAGCCCAGGAGGCAGAGGCTGCAGTGAGCCGAGATCACACCACAGCACTATAGCCTGGGCGACAGAGGGAGACTCTGTCTCGAAAAACAAACAGAAAAAAAAAACTGAAAATGGATTACCTTAAAACTATTTATATTTATGTACCCCCCTTGGAAAGTCTTTGTGTGCCCCCGTTTGAAGACCACTGCTTTAAAACACTGATAGTTCTTCTCCAATAAACCTCTTCAACTAGGTAATGATGACCAGAATGCGGTGTGATCAGAATTTATCTTCACGACTCCATGTATCTACTTGAATTAGATTGAACATGCTCCCCAAGAAACATATCTTCTCTTCATTGTTGTGATTCTTCCACACTCTTCATAGAAGGCTATGAACCTTGTAGATAAGAAATAAAGATTCATTAATAATGATAATTTCTGAGATTATTTTATTATTTAAAAATGTAGCTTCACAGAAATCCATACAGTTAAAAAGAAAACCACCACCACCACCAAAAACAGAGTAAGAAAGAATTTTTTGGATTTTGACAGTGTAAAAGAAAGAAAAGGTTGATATTTAATATGTTTTAAATTACTTATCTGCTCTAACTATTGTATCACATCATATTTCACACACCTGTCTTGGTTATATCCTAACTATAGCTCAGTGCTAAGCAAAGTGAAAAAGTCAGAAAATAACAGGGCAGAGATTACAGCAAGGTTACAGTTGGGGGAGGGGGAAAAGCAGCTCCTGCGGAATAATCGGTTTTAAATTGGAGGTCTTTACTTAAAACCCTCAGGAAATAAAAAGGGTCAAAAAAAAAAAAAAAGGAAAATTGCACAGGGGTTATATTACTTAAAAAGACAATCTCGTTTCTCTTTCAAAAATTGCTATATTTTTGGAAGATGTCTTTGACAATCGATGTCATCACTTAAGGACCATTGCTCGATAAAAGAGTAGTCAAGAACTCTGAGTTTTATGGCATTTAAACGTTTCTGCCAGTTTGTTAAAAAAAAAAAAAGTATAGTTTTGATCAATTCAATTTAAGCAATTGAAAACTTGGGAATGTAAATTAAGAAATTAAGCTAATTCTTAGTTTTATTTTCAATCAGGAATACATTTTTAAAAACATTAGTTTGAAGAAAGAGTTGGGTTAAAACTTTATTGATTCCATGATCCTGAATTATGTCACGTTATATTTTTTTTTTTAGAAAACAGTCTACTGTCTACAGTGGTAGAAAAAACAAACAACTCTGTACCTGGGGTAAATCTCCCCATATCATTTCATTTTAATGCATACGCTAATGAAAATCCTCTTGCTATTGATAACACGAGCTAAAATCATGTTTAAACTAAAGTTTTCTAATGTCAATCAGAAAGTAATAATGTATTTGTTTTAATTTCTCATTTAAGTAATGAATTAAATAGGTATTTCATTAATATACAGGAACTCAATCTCAGTCAATGCTTCTTTCATAATAATTGTAATGAAGACATGGGATTTCCAAAGCATGTGCATTGTTTCCTAAATAGATGTACAAATTGAAACTTGTTTTATAAATACCTTATTTCGTAAACCACATGCCTGGTCCACAGTAGCCTCTTAATTATTTTAATTAATAAATTAGTTTTTCCTGGCTGGGCATGGTGGTGGCTTTCATCAATTTGCCCGGGCAACATGGTGAAACCCTGTTTCTACGAAAAATACAAAAGTTAGCCTGACATGGTGGCTCGTGCCTAGAGTCCCAGCACTCAGGAGGCTGAGGCAAGAGGATTGCTTAAGTCCGAGGGGTCAAGGCTGCAGTGAGCCATGATCATGCCACTGCACTCCAGCCTGGGCGACATAGTGAGACCCTGTTTCAAATAAATAAATAAATAAATAATTTTTTCCTATAGTCATTAGCCTATTTAGTCTATAGCTGTCACATATGCATTGAAATGAGGTTACAAAATTCAGCAGACCCTAAAGACATGGTTTCTTGGGAATTCATGCTTAAGGACTTCACAAAATAAAAACAAAAGATAGAGTAAAGATATTGAACTTAGAATGGCCACAGCTAACCTAGGATTACCGTGCCCATGTTTCAGCCAGTTTTATGGCACTTTATACATTGCTCTCTGGTTAGGCAAAATTGGAATAGGTGAAAGATAAATACAAGACTGGAAAAGTACAAGATACTGAGTCCAAGGAAAAAAAGCCAAAGAGATGCAGGAAGAATTAGGCAAAGACCATAAATGATGCACAAAGAGAATCAAAGAACTTCACTGTTATTTTTAGTGAATATTCAAAGTGGGAAACAAGTTAAACAAATTCAGACTGTTTTCCACTGTTTGTATGTTACTAAACTTTGTTTGGGAGAAGGCCTATGAATTACATTGAAATCTTGGTGTTAGCTTATGCTAGATTGAAATAATAGCTGACATTTTGAGGGCACTTACTATGAACCAGGCACTGGAATTATTATTTTTACACATCATCTCATTTAATCCTAACAACAACCCTAAGAGGTAGGCGGTATTATCATCTCCATTTTATGGTGAAGCAATTGGGCTTAGAGAAGTTACTTAACTCTAAGTTTACTAATTGCTTTAAAGTCATGTAGCTATTGAAGTGTCTGAGGCAAGACTTCAGACTGAGATTTGTTTCAGTTCAAAGCCCTTAAACCTCTAGGCTACTGAAACTGCAAGATTAGTGAGATTAAAATATGTCCTTGAAATCCCAGAGCAAATTTTGTTTATTAATAAATCACCAATTGATTAAGGTACAAGCTCCTAATTAAACAGTTAAATGTATATAATGTAAAATGGAAGGATATTTTGTGATGTTTTTCCCCATTTTATTTTTTCTGATAATGATATTTAGTTAGAATTTTAGCCTTGACAAATGTCACATAAGCATATAAATATATAACATACATCTATGTATTTTCAAATAAATGTATACCAATATCTATACACACATTTAGATAGATACATGTAGACAATATGGGGATATACTTACAGAAACATATGTAAACTTACATGTAAAAAAGTTTTACATCTTTTATATCTGTCAGTCTCCAAATCAATGAACAGATTTAACACAAACCAAGTTTTAGAAACTCAACATAATCTTAGAGAAATCATCAAAATGATTTTAAATCTCATCTGGATGAATAAACAAAGAGAAAGGGATTACTTGTTTTATTAGGCATTAAAATGTTACAGAGCTCAAATAATTAAAACATTATGATGAGACTGATCCACGGAAGAAAGTAGTAAGGCACAGTCACTGGTAAGTATGTAATATATGACAAAGAAAACACTATATACTGGTGGAGAACACCTAAATTATTTGTTAAATAATACAGGGTAAATTTAACTGTTTCATTAATGAGGATATAAAGGGGTTAGAAAATTCAGAAAATGCCACTGCAATAGCTCTGAAATATGATAAAAAAATCTTTCAAATCAATCACAAAGTTGATTAAAACTTCCTTTGTAACTAAATTTCCATTAGAGCATCTAATATAGTATTCTATGTAAATCTTGGACTCACTAAACAATGTTGACTATATAAGAATTAAGGAGGAGTGGTTTTCTTTTTTTTTTTTTTTTTTTTTGAGACGGAGTCTCGTTCTGTCGCCCAGGCTGGAGTGCAGTGGCGGGATCTCGGCTCACTGCAAGCTCCGCCTCCCGGGTTCACGCCATTCTCCTGCCTCAGCCTCCCAAGTAGCTGGGACTACAGGCGCCCGCCACTACGCCCGGCTAATTTTTTGTATTTTTAGTAGAGACGGGGTTTCACCGTTTTAGCCAGGATGGTCTCGATCTCCTGACCTCGTGATCCGCCCGCCTCGGCCTCCCAAAGTGTTGGGATTACAGGCGTGAGCCACCGCGCCCGGCCAGGAGTGGTTTTTTAATGTTATAATCTTTTCCACTTGCAATAGTCTTTAAATATGTATATATTTAAACATATATCCCACATTTTCTTCATTTCCTCTGATACTCTTGGAGAGGAGGAGGCTTCTTTTCTGCTTTCTTAGAGGAAAGGCTACTAGGGTTGAAAACTGGGATGTTGGTAAACAATGCTGGATGTCTAGCTACCTTTAGCCAAACACTGCGCAAGGCACTAGACTTCTGGGTCCATCATTCCTGCTACAGATACAGACAAAGCAGAGGGTACAAAATGCAGGCACTGAGTTTGGTCTTATATTCTTATTAGATGGGTATAAACCTTTAAAATACCAGTAAGAGAAATCTTTTATTATTTTGAGCTCTGGGGAGTTTATTATTCTATAAAGATATACTCATCCTTCCCTATTGAAACATGGTTATTTGATTTACTGGATTAGGGGAAGAGATGATTTTGCCTAAACCTTCATGCTTCCCCTATCTCCTGCAGAAACTTTTCATAATAAGGCTGGTAATTTTAATTGAGGTTTTGAAATACGGAAAGCATGTGTTATAAAAGTTTGTCTTTTTAACTCAAGTAACCATCTTTATAATTTTATTTTCTGCTTGTTGGCATGGTGGCAATTTTTTTAATTACGAAAAATTTCAAACATATGGAAAAGATGAGATAATTGTATAATGAACACCCATATAACCATAAACTAATATATTCTAGGTTTTAAAATTATTAACAGTCTGCTTTTCTTGTTGTTGACATATTTTACATCATTCCTTCTAAATGTATTAGCACATTCTCTCGGGGGTTCTGTGGCTACCCTCAAAGATGGTTTCTACTGCAAAAGCAAGATATGTGCTTGAATCTTTCCCTTAAATTACCATATTTCAGAGTAAGAAAATGGTTTTAAAGTCACCTCCAATAGTAGCAAGAAGGAGATTTTTTAAATTGTTCACTAAAAATGCATCACTATAGGATTATAGATTTTTATATATTAAGTCGTATAAACCAATTACAATTCTTATTCTTTTCGATGTTTGTATTGTTCAAGTTTAACCAGTAGCAGCCCACCAATTTTCTTCTGGTTTGATTATCTGTTCCTCATGGGTGAAAGGCATGATTTGCTGGGAAGGGCTGGAGTAACTGGGAGTAGGAAATTGGGCATGAATTGAAGGCTTAGAGGTGAAATGATATCAAACATAGTCACATTTACCAACCAGATGGCAAGGAGAAAAAGCTGAAATTAGATCAGAAGGGAAACATGCAGCTTTATTTTGACATGCTACTTTCTTTTCTAGATACTAAGTGTGATTTTTAATGGATACCTATAATTATTTTTCTTCTGTTACCCATTAAGTTGGGCAGAGCTCAGTTCTTTCATTCACATTTCTACCTGGATGAAGAGGTATTAGCACTGTCAAGAGCTATTTGGTTTCTCAAAGTAAGATGTTTTGCAATGAAAAAAATGTCTCAAGATAATGTTAATTATTTTCTAATAAATGCCAAAGGATTTCCTGGATATTGCCAAATAAATGCTAATAAAAAATATAAGTACAATTTTTTGTTTCTCATTAAAAATGTTATTTACATGGAGTTTCAAACTCTCTACCAGAATGATTAGTTTTCAATACTTAGGCAAGAGGAAATCCAGCTATTTGGGTCATTTAGCATGTGAATATGAGAGGAGTGGATCTTTTCAGATCCATAAGAGAAATGTAAACCATTCGCACAATTCAATTAAACTGTAAGACTAAAAACTGAAAACTAAATTTCAATAAGCTGAAAACTAAGTACTAAAATATTCTAAACCTTCAGAGAACTATGAAATTAAAGATATGTAATACTCATTAAATTTCCTTTGATTATGTGTGTATTTTCTTTTATCAAGCATAGGAGATGCTGTTGCTATAATGGTATCCTGCTAACACAGATAATAGCAATTTCCCAATTTACCTATATAAGACTGGGAGAAGGTAAACCTAGAAAGAGAGGCTGACACTGGTATAAATGAAGACGGAAAAATTTGGTAACTTACAGCATTGACTACTGGTAGATTATTATTTCCCCAGTGAAGTTTCAAGAGATGTGGATTTGAGCCTTGGAAGGGAGGCTTGCATTCATTATTAGCATGAATAGTAATTTTTTTTAAAGTGTCAACACATTGTACCACCACATTCTGTTCCTAACATTTATAAATACAGTCTCTAAAGTACAAATAATTTATCCTACATCAAATAAAGCAAAACCAAACAAAAACAAAAAAATTATTTATATTTTATTTCTTGCCTTTTAAAATTCTTTCCACTTTTAAATAATACATGTGTGTAAAAGGATTAAGTGAATAAGATGTAGTAAGATGGATTTGTATACACAATATGCTTCTTTTGACAGAAATGGGATGAGGGAGAATGAGAAAAGGAAGAAAGAAAAAAGGCGAGAACCGCCTGCCAAAGGTCAAGCAGAAGGGGCTGCACTGTGTTACTTGATTTAATAATACCTCAATAAAGTTCACCATTACTTTTTTATTATAGCATGTTGGTGCTTCTAAGAGCACTAACAGTGAGAAATAAATGAATATGGCTTCAGATGCTGCCAATGACAGTGGGAGGCCCTGTTTACTTCGCTCTTATGAAGTCTTCTTGAATTGTGTCACTTGTAGAATTTGTACTTGACTTTTGGAAACATAAAATGTTCTTGCCATTGAGAACTAATTAAGAAATCTGGCCCTCTGTGACTGAGCTCATTTTGTTCAGGTTGACTGCATATTCAAGTTTGATTCAAGATGTTCATCTAATGTATACTGTGACCAACTATTTCAGTTGGATTAAGATAATTACCTAGCTCAACTCTCCTGATACATTCCACAAGAATGGCATTCAAAGCCCTTAAATGAGACTGCCACCAAATTGGCACTCCAGGTTTTTAAGAACCTTAAAGTACAAAAGTTAACATTGTGCTTTGGAATGAACCCAAAGTAATCCCAGGCTACCATTAGCAAATAAAGAGGAGGATGGACCTCATAGCAGTTAACACATGGATGAATCTCACAGACATTGGGTTAAGTGAAAGAAGACAGACTCAAACAGTAGGTACTTATGATTCTACTTATAGGAAGCTCAAGAACAGGACAATGTAATCTGCAGTGACAGAAATCAGAATAGCAACTACCTCTGGGAGGTGGGTATTGACATAGAAGAGGAATGAGGAAAGGATGATGGGAATGTTCTATCTCTTGATCTACAATGGCTACATAGGGCATTATTTGTCTATACAAATTTACTGACCTGTAGACTTTGTGATTTTACCGTATGCAATAACTCCGTATTGCATATACGGTATACTGCATATACTTCTCTATTGCTTAATACCGTATACTTCAATGAAAACAACCAAAAGAATTCTGAAAAAGTACCCAATTATGCTTAAAATGATTAAAAACAAAAAAACTTTCATGTTTTTCAGTCAAATCCCCCAAATAGTTTCACCTTCACAATGCTGTTATTTGACTGTTATAAACGGATATGAGCTCTAGATTCTAGACCTAATTTGCCTTCCTGCTATACAAGTTTAACAAAGGCATTTAAGCCTGGGCTAGCTGAGCAAAGTTAGCACACTCAGATTCCAGTTTCTCATTGTGTCAAGTGTGTTTACAGAAAAGTGGGAAAGTTAGGTCTTCCGTGAGTGCCATGACCACAAGCCTGGGCCTAACAAAATTATTCATTAAATATGTATTGAGTGCTTTCTGAGTGTCAAATGCTATTATGGGCACAGAAGATACACAGGTGAACAAGAAAAGGTCCTGTTCTCACAGATCATAATTTCTAGGATTAGGAAAGAGAAAGCGACAAGCAATTTAAACATAAATGCACAAAATATTCTTAAGCTAGTGGTAAGTGCTACATGGGGAGGACCCATTGTAGATGGGGTGGTCAGAGAAAGCCTCTCTGAAGATGTGACATTTGATCTGTGTCCTGAATGATGAGAGAAAGCCAGTCATGAAGAAAGCAAGGGAAACAATGAAGCTGGTAGACAGAACGGCAAGCCAAAGCCCTGGAGGATGGAAAAATCTTGACATATTTGCAAAATACAAAGAAGGCCAGCATGTTCCAACTAGAGGGAACTAGTGGAGAAATTATGTGGGAAAAAATAATAGACAGGCTTGGAGGCCATTTTACAAAGTATGAATTTGGTTCTAAAGACAAGAGCAAGCCATTGGAGATTTTTAAGCAAAGGGATAGTACAAATGGAAAGAATTTAGACTTGAGACATGTTTGGAGGTAGATTTAATCAGATATATATAGACTAAAAAGTGGCAAAGAGGGAAAAGGAGGAATTAAAAATAACTGCCTGGTTTTAGGCTGAGACAGCTGATGGTGGGCATGATGAGGGTGCCATTCCCCAAGATGAAGGAGATTTGGAGGATTAACATATTTGAGAAAAAAACATAGATTCATTGTGGACACGTTGAGTTTCAGCTACCTTTAAAAGCCATATCACAAATGAACACATTTGACTTCAACAGAAGAAATTATATGACCTGATGAAGCTCAAAATCGTCATTCAGGTGGAAAAACAACTTCAGGCTTATGCTTCAAAATGGTGGACTCATTGTATTTTCTTTCAATAATGAGGACAGAATATTGAGTATCAACAGGGATATTTCCAACATCTTCCTGCTGATTTCCTAAGACAGAAACCATTAGAAGGTGTTATTGAACATTTGTGCTATCGTTCTATCATCTATGGCAACACACATCCTACCGTTTGGGAAGATTGCTAACGGCAAAGTTCTGGAGTTTTTCAAAACCTGGAACTAATGATGATACTATAAAACAGGCCTTTTAATACACTGTTGGTAGAGATCTCTGCCAATTTAAAGGCCAATTTGATAATATCAATTAAAATTTTAAATATGTAGGCCCTTTGGCAAAGTATTATCATTTCTATTACTATATTCAAAAATTTTGCACAATTACATAGGATATTTGTTTAAGCATTGATTTGGAAATCATTCTAATATACATAACTAGAAGTTGTGTATGTATATGGTTACTTATACATAATGAAATAGTACACAGCCATTAAAAATAAGAAAGATCTGTATGTACTGACATTATATATATATATATAAAGTAAGTAGGTAAGTGAAAGTGCAAGTTATAGCAAGTATAGTCTAATCTCATTTTGAATGAAAAATCTTCTGAAAGAAAAGATCAAATTGTGGCTTTTTTTCATGTCTGGGATATTTCTATGACATTTAGATTTTTGTAATAATCATATACTACTTTTATAATAGAAAAGAACCATAACAATATTTTTCAAAGCCATATAGTGCAGAATTCATACAAAACAGAGTATATGAAACAGCCTTCCAGTGTTAGAAATGCTGAAGTCAAAAAGTAGCCAGGCATGGTGGCTCAAGCCTGTAATTCCAGCACTTTGGGAGGCCAAGGCGGGCAGATGGCTTGAGCCCAGGAGTTCAAGACCACCCTGGGCAATATGGCAAGACCTTGTCTCTACAAAAAATACACACACAAAAGAAAATTAGCCAGGCATGGTGGCGCGTGCCTGTAGTCCCAGCTACTCGGGAGGCTGAGGTGAGAGGATCATTTGAGTTCTGGAGGGGGAGGTTGCAGTGAGTGATGATCATGCCACTGCACTCCAGTCTGGGTGACAGAGCAAGATGCTATTTCAAAAAAAAAAATGTCACAAGACCAAGTATAGTTTTGAGATAATTGTGGCTTTTGCTAAACAAACAAACAAACAAAAAGCAGTTTTGAGTATAAGCTATAATCTTGGAAGTATAATAGGAGGAAATATAGGCATAGATCTATGCTTAATATCTGAACATCTGAGTATCTTTCTTGTCTGTCGTCCTAGCTGAGATATCACAGGAGTTGTTGTTTCTCTCAAATATTCAAAGGCTTTGGGAAGGAGACTGCTAGTTTTCTGGTTCTAATTGTTTTATAGAAGATTATATGAATCTTCCAGGAAAAGGTTGTACAACTTCACATGAAGGGCTCACATCATCAAAATTATTTTGAAGAGAAAATGAATTATAGAATTGTCAATTCTCTCAAAGTTGTTGTACACATCTCATGCAGTTCCGCTTAGAATTTCAAAAGAGCTTCTTTTAACTAAATTTCTTTTGGAAGAGTAGATGTCTGAAAACATTAGAGTTAATTGTGTAAAAGTAGAATAGTGAATGAGGACTTACTTTTCTAGATAATAAAACATACTATAAAGTTATTATATTCAAAAGAGAATTTTCTTTACCTGAAAATAGAAAAACTAGATCACAGGAATTAAATAAACTCCAAATAGATGAAAGATTTAAATGTAAAACATAAAACAATAACAAGCATGAAAAAACTTAGTGTATATGTATTAAGTAAGGGTTGGAGAGCTTTGTAAAAAAGACAAAAGACCAGAAACTATAAAAGACATGTTTGACTTCATAAAATTAAATTATACTTGTACTGCAAAAAAACACTAATAAAGCCAAAAGAATATTTAAATGCATATAAAGGATTACTTCACTAATTTTTTATAACACAAAAATCCCAATTTAAAAATGGGCAAAGGATATAAATAGGCAATTCAAACTGGAGTAAATCCAAATAGGTGGTAAGTCCATGAGTGATGTTTTAACATTCAAGCTAAAGAACAAATAACCTACTACTTGGCTACAAAGTGATAACAAGTACTTTGAGAAATATAATAGGTAGCCTCATACATTGCATTAGATATGTAAGGAGTAGAATTAGTAAAAAAATAAAAATAAAAGAGCAATGTATCCATGATAAGAACAGGATTATGATATACCATCAACATACATGTACATGCGAAAAAGTGATGTGTTGAAAGGATGGTCATCAAAACACTAATTGTGGTTATCCCCAAATAGTAAGATTTCAGGTGAGTTTAGCATGCTTCCTATACGTTTTGAATTTTTTTTTGTTTGTTTTTCTACTTTGTATAACACTATATTTTCAATTAAAATTTGTGAAAAAATGAATTCTTACGAAACTCAAAAACCCTAAAAATATCCTCTTCACTCCACCCCTCCTTCCCTGCTTTTACTTCTAATTCAAGCTTGTTTTTTATTTTAGTGGGAATGGGGGTGGGGTAGGGGTAGGGGATTAGAAATTAGAAAACATGCTCACCAAGGAACAAGGGCTATTGGCTGTTCCTGAATGAGATTCAGATAGAATGACACAATACAGCACTTCCAAAAGTTTCCATTGCATCTCTTCTCATTCCTATTTTAGTAACCTTTGACATTTGGAGAAACAAAAGCCTACATTCATTTTTGTACTTCTCTCTCCCTAGGGCCTTATTCAACAATTGTCAGAGAATATTTTGTACCACTGATAGCAATAACAGCCTCTAACCTGCCTTCCCTTCTATCACTTTGAGTCCAAGACAAGGCAACAGAATGCAGGGATAAGTGAGTCTTGTCTTTGCCAGTTTATTTGAGATTCATCCTTCTTGTTGTATTTCAGATTTACAGACCCACTCCCCACCCCGGTGTCATCTGCAAGCTGAAATCTGAACTGACACCATCTACTCTGCTAGCTGCTTATAAAGACTAGTTGTAATTAGGCACAACGTGGGCTACAATGTAAGCCTGTGTTGCTAATAACAAGTGGGATGTACAGCATTGAGATACAAGAAGTGCCCTTTATTCCCATTTATGTTACCGGAAAAATAGACATACATAAAGCCAGTGCCACGTTAAGTTTTTTAAGGCAATAAAAGTGTTTTGAATTCCTAGACATCCTACGAGTTTCAGTTTTATAAAATGTGCCATCTATTTTCTTTCTTTTCCCTCAAATCTTTTAGCATCACACATTTAGCCTGGCTCTTTCCCTTGTCTAGAGGCCAGGGAGGGTTCCCAGCATATGCTTATGCAAGAAAAGGGATGTTTGCCTTCTTTCCAACCTTGCCCCCGCACTCTCCTCATCATGCAAAGCTGAGAAACAGAAACACTATACAGATCCTTTGGAACCTCCTGTGTGCAAATTCCAAAGGAGTTTAGAGTTCTAGGGAGGAGTTGGAAGTACACAGAGAACCAAGAAGTGTGCTCCTTCCCTAGCCAAGAGTTCCTGAGGGCAAATCCCTGTGGTCTCCATGGGTACCTTTCACTATGCCCAGAATGTAACCCACTGGCTTCTCTCCTCATTGTTGTACGGAAAAGAAGCTCATGCATTCAACAACCACGACTGTGCTCAGTAATACTGCTGAGCAGACACCTAGTGACCCAGGAGACAACTGGCTTTAGTTTTAGTTTAGTAGGCGTTTATTGAGTGCTCATTGCTTGCAAGGCTCTTGACTGGGGATAAATAGGTGAATAAGCCCATGTCACTGACCAGGAAGGGATGATTTTCTATCAGAATAGTTAGGTGGATGACAAGATAATAAGACATTGTAATGACTATAATAGAAGTATAATCAAGGTTTGAAGAAGGATAGGGAAGAAAGTATGGGGAAGGTGATTTAGTTATTTTTCCTGGGACAGGAGACTAGAGGAAAGGAAGGAGAAAAGAATTTTAGAGATGGAGTTAACATTGAGCTTGGGTCTTAAAATATAGGAATTGTGTGGGTGTGGTGGCTCAAGCCTGTAATCCCAGCACTTGGGGAGGCCGAGGAGGGAGGACCTCTTGAGCCTATGAGTCCAAGACCAGCCTGGGCAACATAGGAAGACCCTGTCTCTACAAAAAATAAAAATAAAAATAATAAAATAGAGGAAATTATGTAGAAGAGAAATAGAACTAAAAGGAGGCTGTCTACGCTGCAAAAAATATTTGCAAAGACAAGAAGCATGACCACAGTGTGGCTCAATGGTGAGTAGTTCTGTGTCATTAAGGTGTAGGGCAAATGTGGGGAGTGCCTGGCACTGTAGACAGGTCCCAGGTTGTGAATTGTCTCTTCACCTTGTATGAGTTGTTACAGGCTTTTTAGGAAGGAACAAACATAAGCAGATTTTTAGAAATAAGAGAATGGCCTCAACAGAGAAGACCAGATCAGAATGACAATGGTGGTGGGTGCTTAGTTATTGGTCGATGTTGAGGCCAGAGAAAAAAGTTTAGGAGACAGCAGATTTCCATCAGGTGGAAATGATGCAATCCCAAATTAACCCTGGATGAATATGATGGGACAAGTGAGAAAAATATTTATAGACAGAGTTGGTTTAATTTGGCAACTGACTAATTAGGTAGGGGTAAAAAGGGATGGGAGGAGAAAGTAGCTTCCTTTGTTGGATTGCCAATGTTTGAAAAACATTGTGATGATTTCCTTGGCTCATGATACAATAAGGTTTATGTTATATGTATCTTAGGATCTGAGACCTTATGCTGAAATAGATTGATTTTGATAATTCAGTCTATTTCATTCTTTAGTTGTACCCTTCACTCTTTAGTTGATGTAGATAATATTTATAACTTTTGGCATTTTGCATTATAATTGGTGTGAATATTTTATGGAAAATTGTACCCCAGTGTGAAAACAGCAAGTCCAACTTGCAAAACTGTGTAGCATTCCGACGTAAGACATCTCTAAGCAGCAGCACCATTTCCAGGACTGCTTATGATACCATGTCAAGATTCAGACACCCCATCCAGAAATAAGGCATAAATTTCACTATCACATATTAAAGATAAACACAACAGGGATAGGAATGCAACAATAATATCAAAATAAATGTAGAGCTCTGAGACTAAAATTCTTCATCTTACAGCAACACGTTAAAAGGGGGAAAGAACCAAACAACCAAATGAAACAAAAACCATGCCTTGTTTCTTGATTTCTTTTCCCTTCACAGTCAAAAAGGTATCTAAGAGAAATTATATAGAATTCAAAATAATGGCTCTAGGGATTCCTAACAGAAGGACAATATTAGGTCACAGCCATCATATTTCTGGTAAAATCAAGTATGTTCTTTTGGAAGAGGCTTAAATTTTTTAATTTGTAAGGTCACAATAGTCTGTCTCCTTTTTCATTTTCACCTGATGCCTTGCTAATGCCTATCGTTTTCGCTATGGGGCTTTTCTTAGGTAAACTGATGTGACTTGTGGTGGGTGGTATACTTACTAAGTTAGTGAAGAATACTTAAAACTAGAATTTTCACACTTAGGATCAGACAGGCTGCGGGCCACTATTCCTTATTCTTATCTCTCTACAATAGGAAGAACAAAGAAGGCCATTCAAACTCCAGGCTCCACACAAACTCAACTCTTCCACTTACCACATTTGTGACCTTGAGAGAGTCCTTCAATCCCTTTTTACCTCCGTTTCTTCACCTTTAAAAAGGGATAGTAACAGTACCCAATGGTGGAGTTGTTATGAATATTAAATGAATTAATCTATGCAAACACTTAGACCAGCCTCTGACATACATGAAGCCGCATATAACAGTTGTTGCTCTTGCGACAGTTATTGGCGCTGCTGATCACTCTGAACTTTTCTCCTTTAAATGCACAATAAGACCCATTGCATTCAAATCCACAGTAGGACCTTACTGAGCTGCAACAATTGAATAAGAAATTTCTACCATTTTATTTAAAGATGCTCTTCCCCCAATTTTTAATTCCATCCATTGGTATCTGGTTTTTGCCTGCATACACCTTGGCCCTGCGCTCCTAGGAGACAAAAACTCACCATACAAAGAAGTACATTAAAGCAGCCCCCAGCCATTGTTTCATTTTACTTTCTCTTAATTTCCTTTAACTTCATTATGTAACTTTGTAATTATTGAAAATAATAGAAAGGAAACATCTTTAAAATACACAAAAGTGTATGTGATGTTGATTCCTAGAACTGAGGAAAACTATCCTGCCCCAACTGTTAAAAAAGATTTATCTTTCTATGCTAAAATGAAAATTCTGAAACAAAGAAATATTACATGAGCTATGTTGACGCATCATAATAACAGTAAGAAAGCCTTATTCTTTGGGTGTAAATTTTATGTTTTTGTTTTACAGTTCCAAAAATCTATGCATTTGAAAAGTACAGCAACGGAAACTTGTTATAAGTCAAGTTTGCATTGCTATTGGTTGATTTTGTACATGTTTCCATTTCTTTCACCCTGAGTTCCCTGCAGCTTTATGACAAGTAAATGAAGATATTTGGAGCCTGCTGAAGAATTACAAACATTTGAGGTGGCAGGAGCAAGGGCCTGAGGTCATGCCCAAGATGCAGGTGTTCAGAATTCCAATCCCTGCCTTAGCAAGGGCTTGCTGAGTGCCCTTGAGCAAGTCACTTTGCTTCCCTGGACTTCTCTCCTCCCTGCTAGGGTGAGGATATTAATGCTCAGCTCCCACACGGGGGGATCAAGTGTATTAAGTAATTAGAAAACAAGATTCCCATAGAACTCTGTAGGAAATGAGAATTTAGTCAGATGATTCTTAAGTGTTCTGGAAAACAAAAAACAAAAATTAGACTGAGAGTTATACAAAGCAAAATTTAGTTGTCAATACATAAGATTGGTGGAGGCTACCTCTCCATTTTACCTAAGCAGGAAAACATAATATTTAAGGACATATATTATTTCCAAATAAAATTCCACTCTTCTCTCTCTCTCTCGCTCTCTCTCTCTCTCTCTCACACACACACACACACACACACACACACACGAGATACCCTTCCTCATTCTTTCTTTATTTTAAAGTACTGCACCTATTTGGTTTCAAAATAGGAGCCTTCTACATAAAATTATCAGCTTTAAAACAATGTTTGAAATAATTAGGTCACAAATTCTGGAGCCCTTTAATGTGGTTGCAATTCTATAACTATCTGCGCATTCCATGTATGGCCCTATTAAATGTACCAGGCACCAATGTTGCCGGCTGTCAAGAAGCAAAATGAAAAATAGTTTTAATAGCTGCTCTTTGACCTGTTTTATATTTTATGTCAATTATAACAGCACACAACCATGCATAATTATGAAGCATAGATGCATTAAAATGTACACATAATTTGTGTTCTTATGGCAACCATTGCATTAGGCTCTAGAAAACAAACCTATTGTTATAAGTCATTTGCACATTAATATATTAGTATTAAATATCGAAGACAGATTTGTCTATCCATCTGTTTTGAGTCATTGTAAGTAAATATATCTTTTTGGAGGGGTGGACAAAATCTCTACATAAATGCACTGTAGGTGCCATCTGCACCATATATTATAATACAGAGTTTAGCACCATCGTGCATAGCAACTCCAGCAAAGACGGTGCCATGTGATTGTCATTTGAATGTCATTTTTAAAAAATGATCTGGTATATGGACAGAAGGAGGATTTTTTTTCTGGCACTGCCATGAAAATTCCTTCATTTGACTATCCTGTGGCTTTTGGATTTCTTTCTTAAAAGCTTATATTTTTCCAAGGATAAAAGGAAAATAATTATTTTAATGCTGGGTAAATGAACAAAAGAGTATGTTTTCTCTATGGCAAAATTAGTAAAATACCACAGAAAAATTGCTTTAAAATATCTGATAATTGTAACAATGACCTGAGAAGCAGGTAATAAACCCAGAAAATGACCTTTCTATGCTACAGATGAGGAAACCAGGGATTTTTCTACTAGATGACAAAACAGAGTTATCAAAGAACAATCAGATAACTCCAATTTTAACTTTTCAGCATCCTCATAATTTTATGGAGAGTGAAGCTGCTGGAGTGGAGGGCACAAGAGAGAGATACAAGATAAGAAACAGAAATCAGACTTCCTAGCCCCAAGTTTTTCCATTTAATACTTTCATGTTCATAAATTTAATGGAAGTAAGACTCCACTATCTTGTCAGTTTTGACCCTATTTCTCTATCTCTGAGCAATTGCTTTAGATATCCATCTGACCTTAATTCATCTGAAAGCTCACATGTAGAATCTATAACAGTCGAACTGATAGAAACAGAGTAGAATGGTGGTTTCCATGGGCTGGTGGGTAGGGAGAACATGGAGATGTTGGTCAAAGGGTATAGAGTTGCAGTTAGACAGAAGGAATAAATGATAAGTATTTAAGGTGATGGATAGTTAATTAGCTTGAGTCAATCATCCCACACTGTATAACATCACAGTGTACCCCATAATTATATAGGATTATAATTTGCCAAAAATTTAAAATAAAAAGTAGAAATAAATTGGCAAAATAATGAACATTTCAGTAAGGAAAAAAAATCAAGGCAGGAGGTTGAGGGATGAGAGGCAGAGGCAGCAACGAACTGTTTCCCCGAAGTCCTGACTGAAACAGATGACTATTTGTATTTGTACTTAATTCACTTTAAGTGATCACATTTTTATTTGGGTGACCAGAGAGAATCAGAACAATTTCAACATGCCTTTCTGAAGCTTCATCTAAAGTGTTTTTCACTTCTCTGTTCTTTGCTTCTTTTGTTAGTTGTCAGTAAATGTAGATGTAAAGAATGTTTATTCCATTTCCACATAACCAGACTTTGAATTCAGGCATTTCTGGGATGATTTTAATCTACAATGACTCCTTAATTCACTCATATATTTACAGGTGTAATATATATTACATTTAATTCACCATATATTTACAGTTTACAGGTATTACATCCGTTGTCAAAGTATCACCCAGATATTATTTAAAGCTTTAATTTGTTTCAATTCCAAGAAGTTTCTCTAGGATCTTTAAAATACTTGTCTCTAAATGCAGTATCTCTATCTTTAAATAATCATGTAAAATGTAAAGTGTTTGGAAGAGGACTGGAAATATCTGGCTTTGATGGACTTTTTTTTTTTTTAAACTTGTGGCACTATGGAAAGAAAATTGCTCTGTACTAGCATAGCTCATTCCTACCTAAGATTAGCCAGATAAAGGGAATAATTTTCTGAAGAGAAATGGGTACTAATGGAAGAAAATAAAAGCAGGGGAGAAATAACTGATGAAGAAGGAAGAAAATATGTACCTGAGTAATTGAAGGCAAAAACACAATGAGAAAGGTTGTAGTAGTGAATCTCTATCTCAAATTTCTAGAAAGAGCTATCAAAATTCAGACAAACACCTTGGAACTCATGCCTCTGAAGCTCAACACTGAACAATTTCAGATAGTTATGGAGTGTGTCATGGAGTCACCCATGAGACTACCTGGCTGGCTTCATGCCACACCGTGTTTTGTGGGATAAGATTTTGAGTCTCACAGGCACTGAGAATGGACTGGGGATGAAGATGTGAAGGAGATCACAAAGCCGAATCCGACAGAAAGAGGTCTCCCTTTTGAGAATGTTGAGGTACACTTAATTTAGAATTATATGCTTTTCAAATTTTAAATGCTAAAGGATCACCAATTTAAAGAAAATGGCAGAGTTAGTTCCTCACAGGGCAACTTTCTAAATATTGTCTTCAGAATGAAAATAATATAGTCGATCCTATAGTATTTACTCATTGTTTTAAGCACTGTTTCCTCAAATCCATTTTTACAACACAAAATTGATATTTGTTTAGCTCACAGACATTTGACAAGCATATCTGTAGTTTGCTTACTCTCATGTACTAACATGGAGTTTTACACTTTTTAAAAATTGTTATTATTGATTCATTTTACCCATTTAAATTCTTACAGTATTTTTTTCCTTCTATTATGCCTGTATGTGTTATGTGCTGATTTGACAACATAATTCACTGACTTCCAAGGCTGCTTCATTTTTCTGCACTTAATTATCCAACCCAACTAAAATTAACTTTTCAAAATAGCATTCTTTCACATGCCAGTTATAAAACTGACTACAAAGAAAGTTCTATACATTTCGGTGGATAATACTTCGAGCCAAACTGTCTAAACTGATGGAGACTCTTTACCATTATATTTAAACATCTTAGATTTTTCTCCAGTTTGTCTTCTTTACATAACTTCTTTTTCCTTAGTAAAGTCTACTAGTTTTATTCCTATGTCACCATCTTTACCCTCATTTTCCAGGAAATGGGACAAAGCAACTTCTGTTGAAACACAAAACCCCTTACTTGTCACAAGTGTCAATCAAAACATTGCTTTGTTGATCTCTGCTTGGTTTTGGTTTCCTTTACATTCTAAGGAACTTCTTTCTTAAGAAATTTTTATTTTAAAACTTTATTAATTGATATATATATAAAGAAATCACCAATTAGACTCATCCTTTCAACATTGGCTTATTCATTCATCTGTTGCATATTACCAGGGCTAATGGGCAATATTCACACATTTGGCAAAAGTTACCATCCCAGGAACCTGGCTTCCTCTGGATATTATAAGGTATTCAACACTAATGACAATGCTTCTGGGTTCTGTACTCGGGGAGGCACAGCTGCCAATCTGTGTAGTACTAAACTTTGGGGTGGGACCAGGGACCTATCAAATGGACAGGACCAATCTTTAAGTATACAGCACACAGCAGCATTTCTCAGTACTTCAAACTTGGGGGTAGGAGACTGGTGCAGCATTATAATGGATATCCTAATTTAATTAAAGAATAATTATAGAGCTACAGATCAGAACATATGTAAGATTTCAGAAAAAGATGACATTTCATTCTATCTTTAAACATTTAAAAATTATGTGAAGCCCCTAGAGGATTTTTGATTTGATAAAGAAAAAAACTTATGTAAAATCACATGCAATTTGCCCTTCAAATGATTTTAATATTTATCATAGAAACAATACATGCATTAGTATATGGATTTTTAAAAGGTATAGGTAATTTCCTATGCATCTTCAAGTTTACTTAATGGAAGCCTGGATGTCCGTGTAAAGTCACGTTGGATCTGATGACATATTTTTAATGGCATTACTTACTTGTCCTAACAACTGAAAGACTTTTTTTTTGGTGGGGGGCGGTGGTGGGCGGTGGAAATCTCTCTGGTGCTCAACTAGAAACATCCTGGGGGTGGTAGGAGTTTTCATTTTCAAAGCTATCGCAAGCCAAAAAGACTTACTGAATGCCACTACGTGTCAAACCTGTTTAGATTCAAAATATTAACTCCCCCCAAGTTATTGAGTTTTATATTGACAAGATGTTCCACTTAGTTGCCTATCTTGAAGAAGAAAATAAGAGGCTTGCATTGATTTGAGAACTATCTCTCTGGTTAGGTGCTTTTGTGATTTTATAAAGATTGAACTTCCCAGGGTTAGTTAAAGAATAATATGGCCCTGATAAATCACTGATATGCAGAAAAGGACCAAATCTCTGCATTTCTGAACCACCAAGGGGTAAAGAAAACAGGACAAGCCTTGTCTTACCCACATGCCAAAAATCAGGTTACTCAAACTATGTAGTGATAATGACCGCTGAATATAGCATAAGTAAATATTTGTTATGGGGCCTACATGGTATGAATGAAAAGGACTTATTCACTTTACTTTGGACCCTTCCTTGGGTTTGAACAGAAAGTCCGACTGATGAAATCTCAACACTTGGTCCTAGACCAGCAGACTGCTCAAGGAAGAAAGCACTAGCTCTTGTAAGGTCAGACCGGGTTTGGGCCAATCAGTTGCAGAGAGGTTGTTCTTCGAAGCACTGCTGGCATTTGGGAGTTGCTGTGACAGGCTACAGGAAGAGATTTCATTCTTCTTTAACTTGGTGGCCAGCCTGCAAGCTACTGTGTGAGTCCTTTCCCCCTAATCCATACTGTTCAGTTGCCACGAAAGCTTGTAAACAGGAGCCTCCATCAGTTACCTCAGAGTGGTCTGAACAAACTAACATCATAACAAGAGTGTTTATGGAAAAATGCTTAAGCACTGAAGCAGAAAGGGCTTAGCACTGATCAGACCTCTCTTCCACCTTTATTCTTCACTGTTCACATTGAAATGCAAATATCAGCGCAGGGTTTCCACTGGCGTGCCACTCACAAATTGAAAAGCAGTTTTTATCTATGCAAATGTAAGCATGGTAATTGAAGTTAATCAATCAATGCTAGCTTTCACTAAAACCTTGAACATGATTGAATAAAGTAATTATCATTCAGCGAAAATGATGAAGTTGTAGACAGCATGAACCTTATTAAAGGAGGATTTTGAGTCACAATGGCTTAATTTAGCTAACAGCCCAGCCTTAGCTCAAGCAACATACTACTCTTGCTGCCTAGAATTGTTTTACGATTAAAAAACAACAACAACAATAATAATGGGGGTGGGGGAAGACGAAGGTAAGGATAAAGTAGGGGCTTTATTATTTTTATAGTGCTTACATTAATAAAAAGTACTTGTCATGCTAGAAAAGAGAAGCCATAATTAACATCTTTTAAAAAGCTCTGAACAGATCAGTGAACAAAGATTGCTATGACATTTTTGATATGCCCAACAGCAATAACAGCCTCTTAATGCTATTATTATATTTCTAACATAAATGGGTGAAATAAAGTGAGCATCTCAGAAGTTTTAGTAAAAGAAACACAAAATTAGAAAAATATTTTCATGTGCAAAAGGAACCTATTGAGATTTTGCAAATCGAATGCTAATCTCTTAAAAGCATGACGTCGAATATAATGTGTATTGTTTTTATTGGTTTACAGGAGTTTCAATAATAAAACATATGCTATGTTTTGCACAGCCTTTCAAATATTTCATTTTTTTCCAGAGTGCCATATATTCAATTACTTGCTTTGATTTATAAAAAACAGTCCACCAGAAGGTGTTTTACCTTTAATTCTAGTCTATTTTTTTTTCCAGTTTCTCTAAACTCTTATCTATTTTTACTTATGACTTAAATGCTTTTCTTTAAAAACAAAATTATTTTATTTAAGCCAAAGTTTAGTGTTATTGTTGAAAAATCATTTCAGGTAGTGTAAGGGAAATAATGCATCTCTGGAAAATGTAATCAACAGTTAGTGTGTAACATAATGTAAACTGATTATGGAAAGAGGTTCCATTTAGCTTTTTCCAATGTATTTTTGAAAAACAAGGTTAACTAGCAATATTTAGATTAGAGTCGCCCAGCAGGATATGGTGACTCTAAAGAACCTACAGTAATTCTATTGGATTCAATTAGATTGAAAAAATTAAAGGTCTGTAATCTTGCTAATATTATTGTACACCCTTAGGGAAGTCATTCCCTCCCCCAACTCCATTTTGGTTGATGCATTTCACATTTAGTGTATTTTGAATAACAGTTTACGGGATTAAAGCAGCATTCCCAACTGTATTGCAAAAAAATCCCCCCTCCCTTTTTCGGTGGTAGGGAGATATATAGTGCTAGGTATTTTCTTCTAACATACAATGTCTCCATGTATCCAAATCTCTTAAAGCTTCAGTACGTTCATATACCATCACTTGTATCACTAATAAATAAGTAGGTGACAAAAATAAATTCCAAAGTTTAAATAAGTAGTGAATGGATTATAGTAAAAACAGTTACAGGATTTTTCCAGTACATGTTTTCCCTGAATGTAATTGTCCTGCCTCCTACTATTTAAGTAAAAGCAATCTGCTTATTTATTATCTTCTATGCCATCCACAAAGCACTTAAGTATCACGCTGTGGCTACTGTGGTAAAGTGACATTAGAATGCTATATAAAAATAGTTAAATAGAATCAAAATATCATTTTTACTTGGATAATAATGTGCATTAAAAGTATGATATTGATTGTTTACCTTAAATGCCCTAATAGCAGCAAATTATTCATTTCTGACCTTCTGTGATTATTTCCCACTGCAGGACCAACCCAGGACAAAAGTTAATACATCTCATTTTCTTATTTCTACTCAGGTGTGTCAAACTAACAGTAGCAAGAAAGACCACAGGATAGAGAGGAGACTGTCTTTATTTTTGACCCTTCATTTTCTGCAACAGTCAGGAGTTGACATATTTTGGATTAAAAAGAAGAAAAAATTAAGCAATCATGCAAATCAATTACCAATATATTCACAAAAGATCCAAAGTATATAGAATATTTGCTTTCTTATTCCTAGGATTCATATAGACTAAAAAGGATCTGTATATAAACAGTAAATATTCTATCATCAATGCACCATTTGCAGAACTGCAGAGTATCAAATAACTGGATAGCTAGGAAGTTAAGGTGCTGTGAAGTATTACAGCTACTGTTTTTCTAACTGCTGAAAGCACCAAGACAATACAAAGTTTTGTTTAGAAACAGTTTTTCCCTTGCTACCTTGTGAATCAAAGGAAACTCTTAAAGTCCAAATGCTTGCAATTTAAAATCTATTTGAAACAAATCAACACTTCGTATTTTTGTTCCAAGATGTGTTGCTCTCCCAAGCTTTCCCTGCTGAAGGTTTTCTATTAATTGTACTCTCAGTCCAATAGTGGGTTCTCTGACTCTAGCCTTCACTTGTCTACCATAGCTGTGATGGTTAAAAGCTTCTCCAGTTTGTCACAGAGTTTAATATGCACCCTACATAATTATGCAGGATTCACTGTGCTATCAAACTGCAATTCAAATTAGTTCAGGATTAAAGGCACAGAACAGTACTGCTTCCTTAATTGCATTGTACTGTGCTGATCACATTCAAATACCCATTACTCATTCCCTCTGTGGAGCAATAAGTCAGGGGGATTAATATTCAGGCAGGTGACAGGGCCAAGCCATTAAAAGGCAGTTATGCAGAAAGCATGGCTGGTTTTATTCACGTTAATGAAATCAGTGAAATGAAACTGTAATAGATTTATCAAAGCTCAGATGGATTTGCTGTAAATCAGTTTGATTCAAGCAATCAAACTGGACAATAGAGATAGTTTTCAGCTCTAGCAATGGGTGTCAGAAAGCAGCATGTGAAAAGTGCTGATATTCTTCATGTATGGATTTGATATCCACCTCATGCACAGGCCTATTCCCAAACCACTGCTGCTAATTTTTTTGTCTTTTGAACTAGGTGCCAGTGGCTGATAAAACATACAGCATATCGTCTTAATACAGCACTTACACTGTTTTTATTCCTCATTTTTAAGTCCCCCAGAACATCAATTCTTTCCAATTGCTGGCAGAGAAAAAAGGAAAGTTCGACAGTGCACAAATTGGCATCGCTGTCCCTCTACTTCCCAGAACAGGAATGCAACTTTGGCCAGGGTGACTCCGCACAATTAGTACGAGCTGTGCTACACCAACATGTATGCAAAGGGGAAAATGGTCAGATAACAATTTCCAACAGTAATGGGATGATGCAGGAGCCCTGAGAAGCTGAAAATTTACTTTTGTTCTGGGTTTAATGAAATAATTTGGTATCCATTAGAGGGCAGCATAAGAACAAAAACTAAGCACAGCAAGGGACGTTTCCCCCGCAGATTGACAAGCACTTTTCCTGAGGTAAACTTTTTCGATGTACTAATATTTTACAAGTGTAAAGCCAATGAATGGAGAAAACTAAGTAATGAAGAAGATGGGAACGCATCCTACTGTTAGAGAAAAATGACACCAAGGACAGCATATGCCAATTTAGCTTTAGGGAGTTTTCAGGCCATACATTAACTCCTTCCACACTCCACCTGTTTTTAGGGTTAAAATAGAAATGCTCCTTTCTGGAGCTTAATGATCTTGTATTTTGCAGACAATGTTTCTGATGGAATTACGATGAATTGGGAAATAGTGATCACGTGTTTGTGTTCATAAGAAGTGTATCATGAACTGTGGCTTATACTAAAACTACTCTAATTGGTCCAATTTTTATTTATTAGAAACAAATTGTTGAAGAACTAATGCCAGTTTTTAATGATCCAAAACAGAAATAAATGTTCTAGTCTATTACCGTCCTATATGGAATAAGTCAATATTAAAGCTAATTAACCCTTTTCAAAGGCATTTTGTCCCAGGTTTTTATTTAATGGTTCAGTGCTGCTTCAAGCATGGATCAAGCTGGATAAGCTCCATTTAAAAAATGGCCCATTTTGAAAACAGTTTAGCAGCTCACTATGACAACTATATTTATCAGGATAAACTTGACTTTTTCAACTGTATAAATAAGTGACCACAGTTTCTTAAAAGATCCAACAATAAAATAGATGATGGTTTCTTAAAAGATCTGACAATAAAACAGAGATTAAGGAAAATAGCCAAATCTCTTTAGTAACATTATAACATTATAAAAACTGATTTCATTTATTGCTTTTTAAAAATATTTAGCTTTAGAAATATTTTCAGGTTTTTACTTTTGGGGGTATTCCTAATGGGGGTTCAGGGTGGTCCCCATATAAGTTATTTCATTCTAGGTCACATGTGAAATGAAAACCTAAGATTTGTCCTTTTTGGAAGAAGCCATGATTTTTTAATAGTGTTCAAACACATAGTGCGAAGCACATACTTTTCAGGCCATAAATGACTACTTTGACATATGAAATCCTATGAAAATTATATACATTATTTAAAGAATTTGGCACTCTTCCCCTTTGCTATACTAGCAAATCACAGAATGTACTTTAATATCAAGCTATTTTTGACTTATAAAATAGATGATATATTTTGTACATGAATTAAATTCTTCACAGTACCAGAGGAATTAATTTTAATGTTATGAAATTTTGATTAGCCTGCTGTAAAATCAGAATTGTTTACCGCAAGTGTCTGGGTTCTGACTCTTATAGTCTTTCCAAACAGATAATGAAATGAACTGGGAATGGGGGTGGGGGGGCGGCAGAGTAATTTATGAAAACATGGTACACCATAATTTTGCCATTTGTCTGCAATAAGGATGGCAAATGATTCATGGGATAAAATGAAATATTTCTCACTGTCATTTCAATGGATCTAAGATTTACAGCTTCTCAACTTGGATAGGAAAAACTCTGTATGCAGAAAAATGAACTGTAAATCAATTAATGATGGAGATGAAAAACAAAAAATGATATTGAAGCAAAGGTGAGAAAAATCTAAGCAAGAAATTAAAAGGGAAGACGTGACTATTTACTTTGAATCTTTGGAGGCAGGAGGTAGCAGAGAGGGAAGCCTCTGTTTAAGAGGGCATTAAGGTCAGGTTAAAGAATAGTGATATGTTGATTGAGGTCATTACGTTTAGATCACTTAGACAAACAATAAGATAGCTTTTAAAGCAAAATCAGATATGCCTAAATTGGATTTAAATAATAAATTTAGATCTAGTTTTATAGTATAAGACTAAAACAAATAAAGAAATTCTGTGGTTATGAAAGATTTGCCTCCAATTCAAGATTGTCCTTAACCAAAACTATTATTTTATAGGCACCAGGGCCAAAGCATATACATATATATGTATTTCACACCTCCCAACTGCTTGGTACAATGAAGGAAAGCTAGCAGCAGCAAATGAAAAAACTGATCCTAGGCTCTACAGGAGTCACTGTACTTGGAAAAGGAGAGCAGGGATGTCTGCTGTAGGCACAGACCATGGGCATGAATGGCTCAGAAGCTGGTGGAACTAGTTGTAGTCTGGGCCATGCACTAATAATCAAGGTAGGTACTATGAAACTCAATCCTCCCACCTCCTCTACTGAAAGATGATATATTACCTATGACTACAGCATACAAACCTTAACCTCCCTAGATTGAAGCAACTCCAATGTGAATACAATTAACAGGGAACCCACGGTAGGGTATGCTGAGCAATGCAATTCAAATGCCAAATGTGGAGAACAAAGATGGTCCTGATAATTCTGCTAAAGTAGTATTTTGCTTAGATCACATGAGTCTTATTATTCTGGACCAGGTATTTAACAAAATATAAAGATATCTATTACTTTTTGCAAAGAGCTCAGGACCCACAGGACTACCTCTGGTATCGTCAAGGCTCAATACATCATGTTCTGTGCCTGTATTTCACAAGTTAGGCAGCTAATTAGAGACCTAAAATACAAAACACATGCACAAAAAGCTCATCATCTCTGTCTCCTATACAGAATTTGTTTCACTATGAGGGTGCCAGATCAATTTAAAACTTTTGTTGTTTCCTTCCTTCATAAGTCAAATGTCATCAGGTGAAATCTGATACCAGGGACAGTACAGTGTTGATAAAGATAGTAAAATATTGATGCTAGTATCATATTTTTTTGATGACCATAAATTTTATACAATTGGGAGCAATATTTTGATAAATTAGATATTAAAAAATTTTAAAGCACTAACAGATTTGATAAGCTAGATCAACAAAAAATGTTTTAAGCTGCCATGTATTTTTTTCCAGGCACTGAACAAACAGTTTATTGTTCCAAGTCTGTCTGGGAGCCCTTGCTTTGGGGTATTCTATACGATTTCAAAGAACCTTCAGAAGCTCACACATGCCTTTGGGCATGCAGAACCAGGAGGCAGCACATCTAAACCACAAATGGAGAATATACTCCATCTACGTGTGTAAATTAAACCCCATAAAATAACATGGGCATTATAAAATTTGTGTTAAAACTGATAACAGCTTTACTGATTTACTGACAATGAAAATATATAGCATTTTTTTCTGTCAGAGCATTTATCAACACTTGGCAACCCTGCACTAACTTGACATGTAAGATGATCAAAATGGATTATGTAATCTTTCCCATTCATTTCTATTGATTTTAGTTATGATAAAATTCATCAGTGTGCCTGGGAACGCTTAGGCTGAAAGGCTCTGGTAGATTTAAAAAAATAAATAAATAAATAAGGAAATAAAAGGAAAAAAGAATTCAACTGAGTTGTAATAGGATGAATGTAATTGTAGAATAGGATTGCACAAATACAGAAGTCATGCCCTAAAGGCTACAGCAACAAATTAATACAAATAATTCTGGCAGTCTTATAAAATTACATCTATCTCTGTAGATATTTCACTTTTGTGTCATCAAAAACACAGTTTGTAAAAATATTTTCAAACTTTTTTTAAACTTCAACAGTAATCAAAGTTATCTGACTGCAAGTAACATCAAAATGCTAGCAAATAGACCATTTTAATCAGTTTTATTGATTCATGCTTCCAGTTCTTATTCAGTTAAAAACAAGGCACATTAAATACATCCTCTTATTGCTCTATAAATGCATGCAGCTCATTCTGTGTATCAAAAGTAATAAATAATGGCCATAAAACACCAAGACAGTTATAAAAATGACAACCCAGCCTCAAACATAGTATTTAACAGTCCAGTCTAGAACAATAACCCAACATGATACATAAAAGTGCCACATATGAAAACATGCGGTGTGTATATCCACTCTAGCACTGAGCTTACACTTGCTATTTAAAAACATAGTAGGGCTTTTTCACTCCTTCAAAAAGGTTGACATGATGCAAACATCGCAAGTTATAGCATCATTGACTTTAATATTACATTCATATGCCAAAAATCTTTACAGATACATAAGAGAAAAATAACATCAATGATGACTCCTACAGTATATTTAGTAAAAGTGAGAATGAGTTTTTTGTTGTACAAAAGAGGAAGCTACATATTTTGAAACAGACAAAGCAAAGCCAGAAACTGAAGCAGGATAGAGAGCATGCATTTAATAGCAGAAATCCTAAAGTTACACTCAGTATAAATTGATTGAAAGCAAGAATATTGCAAACAGCATGATGGATATGAGGCAGACAACCTTGGCTTAACAAATAATCCAGCATTATCATTATTGTTATGACTGTGGTGGGGGCTATTTAAAGGAGTATCCAACTCTCCAGCACAGATGGGGGTTCCTTCACCTGAATCCCCTCAAAGGCTCTTGAAATAAATCACTTGATAATAAAAGGCAATCCCTGCATACCCACCCCGACCCCAACAGAATCAACTGATGTCAAGTTTATATGCAAAGGGAAAAAATTTCTTTTGTGCTTGGAATGAATTTTGAAGAAGCTTATTCCCCCCTATTGCTTGTCTCCCTTTCTTAAATCAGGTAAAGAAGCTGTACAGGTTTAATTAAGAGCTTATACAAAATGCTGGGGTGCTTTATTCACAGTAACGGCTTGAAATCAGTTCATTTCCAAATTGAGTCTCTGGGATTGGTGAAGGACTCTACATTTTAGAAATTAGCAGATTTAAAGTAAAAGCAGATATGCTCAAAAGAAGAAAAGTGTGCTTTTCTTTGTCCTTAAAGGAACTTCATTCATAGCAAAGCATGCACAAACAAGGCCTGTTTAACAAACACAGATCTGCCCGGGCCCTACTGTAACAGAATCAGGGAGGGTACAAGTCATCGTTATCTTGATCTAACTAGAAAGAGAAAGAGAGAAAAACAGAGAGAGAGAGCACAAATGTACCATATTGTGTATATCATCTGGGATATTTTAAAGGACAATTTATCTACCTATTAAGTGTCACTGGGTTCTAAACAATGAAACTTGTTATCTGGATAGCAAAAAACACTAAGTTGTAAAGCCACAAGCTTCAATTACTTTAAAAAAATGAAAAAGCCAGTGTAAAAATTCACACTTTGAAAGAAAAAAGTTCACAGTGATACCTGGGAGCATCACTTGCTCTGTTTTAGGATTTCCCTTAGGAAGTGGCAAGCGTCTAAAACCTCATTTAAAAACAAAATGAGCTAAGATGCTGTCTTTCTCTGCAGTTTCTGTTTCTTTCAGAGGTGGTGGGTGAGTGCGTAGGTGAGTGAACCTCCAGTGTTTACATTGTGACATACAGGCTCAGAATCCACTTGAATAAGGCATAAAGATACTCTGCAGTATTGACATAAATAAAAATAACAGCAAAAAGTGTTTTATGTGCCAGTTTAAAAAACTAAGACTTCAAGTCTCTGCAATAAAAACCTGCCATGAAATAAAGTGTTACATCTCCTATTAGATACAGAACCTGATGTTAAAAAAACAACAACAAAAAAGTAAGTAGTTAACTTTACAAGAGGAAGTACGATTAATAAATATTCAGATAACTAGTTAAAATGCCACCAAAATGTAGCAAAAGCATCCCAAACTGCATTACTTGTTAAATTCAATACACACTGACTTTTGCTTTGGACTCTGTGTGTGTGTCGGGATGGGGGTTGGTGATTATTTTTCCATTTTTGTTTTTGGTTTACTGAGAATATTTCCATGGAGTACAGAAGGGGAAAGACTTTAAGCAACCATGATGACCTTGGAAACTGGTTATGTGCCTTATTTAACATATAATTATAATTAAAGTTAACTAAAGTCTATTCCATCTTCCTTTACTATGGTTGCAAGTACCCCCAAAAAAGATGGTAAGCTAGATTTGACAATACCACATGCTTCAAAATTTAGGCTTGGGAATTGAATCTTTTGTTATCATATGTGGATATATAAAAACACATTTTTAACTCTTAAATGTATTACTACTGTAATAATTAGATAAATTTGGTCTCATCCTATTACATCCAAATTGCCACTTAAATGCTGGTTTTAAAGTAAGAAGAGCAAGGATCTTCCTGGCAACTATAATAGTCAAAGAAAACCAGCAGTGACTGAAGAAAAAAATGAACTGCTGAGATGAAACTATCACTGTAACTCCCAGCAAATGTCAATGCTATCCTTATCTTATACCTGTGATTCTGGAAGCTTTCAGAGTTTCTCTTTGAGACTTGCTCCAGTAACCAGATCTAAACTTTTCCTTCCCTCTCCAGTTAGCCAGTCATGCTCTAGATATAAAAATGTGGAATATTGTTTGCATGAGGAAGGTAGACAAGCTGGAGGAAGATGGGGCTGAGAAATCTCCAGAAACACTATCATTTCAATAGGTAACTCTTTTTAATAACACATGCTGTCTATAAGCTTAATTTCTCCAGAAACATGATCATTTCAATAGGCAACTCTTTTTAATAACACATGCTATCTGTATGCATGTCACAAAATGTCTCCAGCTTTTTTCAATTTTTGCCAAAATATTATGTTTTTAGAACTCATTTAGAATAAGGGAATAAACAAAAAGAGAATGTGTCACATCTAACAGGTCACAAAACAGATGCAAAACTAATGTGCATTGAAAATGAGAAAAAGAAAAAAATATACTTAAAAGCTAGACTGAATGGCAAATACAAATAAAGTACAGCAAATAAAGCTGGCAAATACACCAACACCTTAAAGTTTTGGAATGTTTTCTAGTGTTAAAAAAGGCAGCTATCCACATTCATTATTTCAGAGTGGTTTCAGTCATCTCTGGTTGTTACATGGTGATTTGTCGTTTCTATGTTTGTTGGCTGTGGATTTACTGCCCAGACTCACAATCCTCCACAACTACGGTCCACTGGAATTGGAACTCTTCTGTCGAGGTTCTCTTCTGCAGTTTTCATTAGTATAGCAAGCCGGCTTCCAGATACCCTTCCTTTTTGAATAGCACTCATCAGCTTAAAGAGAAAATATGCAACAGATTCAGAACGCAGGCCAACTTACTCTCTTCTTCATGGCATCATAATCGTTAGAATTGCAGCAGACAGAGGTAATTAAGTGCTCCATCAAAAACCTTAACAAGTACTACAGCTCAGATAAGAAGAGTCTAATTTTTAAACGTTTCCAAAAGAGGGGAAGAGGCAGGTATTTCAACACTGCCACAAAAACTACATCCATCTAGTAAATCACCCTGCCTCTAAAAGCAAATCTTAATGCATCATTTTTTGTCCTTTAATGTGCTCAAGGCACTTTTTTTTTTTTTTTTAGCAACTTCAAATATTGGATCTTTAATTCCATTTAAAATCTTAAAAAGGAATCTCAGGGATTGAACAAAGACAAACCATGACCTATATTTGTCTACCCTTTTTTTTAATGTTACTGTACTTGACAACTTCGAGTCCCCTAAATCCAAATTCCTTAAAGACTTTTTAACGTAATTTACATTTAATTCCTTGAAAATGGACCCAGAGATCTACCTTAAGAATTAAAAGCACTCTACAGCCCAGATTTTAGCTAATTCATTTTTATCCAATGGATAAAATCAGAATTAGTCTTGAAATTACATGCAGGCAGCGGGCAAAGGCCTTTAATCTGGAAGGCACTTTGCAATTATGAGCATAGGGATTTTTTTCCTTTTCAAGTTTGATGTGGTTTCAACTATTTGCTCTTCTTGATCTCACTTCCCTAATCTTTTTTATTTGTTTTAAAAAGAAAAGATTTAGCTATTCATCATATAAATATATACACACATGCACACACATCATATATATATACACATTATATATATACACACACACACATTATATATATATATGATGTATCTATGTATGTATGTAAATTCTCAAAATATTTTTAGGGTTATAGCTTTTAGCCTATAGAGACACGTTGCTTAAAAAGAGCTCTGAATAAGAGTCAGAGACATCTGCCAAGGGGCTGGATCAGAATTTCATGACCTTATTAAAAGCTGTTTCACAAGCTATTGCTTATTAGAGATGGACTCCTACATGCAAAAGTGTCATTAAAACCCAGACTTAGAAATAAAGTCATATAACCATGAGATATCTATAGTGATCCTTCTGTGAAGATTAATGAAAAACCGTATCTATATTCAAAAAATATATTTAATGGGATAAACATGGGCTCTTAGTCTGCAGAAGAGCAAAATATTTTAAAAAAACTAAAAAAACCCTTCAAATATACTTTACATCTGAGGAATGATGTAACATAAGCAATGCTGACATCTAAAGACGGAACAATTTATTGTTTATTGCTTTGTCTCTGATTCCAGGAAGACCTGCAAAGTTTATCAGAGCTAACACAACTGACAAAGCTAGAGGTTTTTTAAGCCATAGACAGTATATGATGTGCCAACTTCTAAAAACTCAAAAGTTTTCTTTAAACACTACATGTATCTAGAAACCATATTACAAGAAAAAAATAACATTTGGGTGTGAATATATTTCATGAGGAATATGGTCAGCATTTTAAAGTTGAAAATCACACTGTGTATTTGTTCTTAGTAAAAGCATGAATAGTCCCTTTCATTTGGAATTGGACAAAAAATACTCAATTATTTAAAAAAAAAACTCTACAAGAAAACCTGCAGATAGTTTCAATTATCTCCTGCTTTTAACTCAACTGCATTCAAGAAAATTACTTAAAACCTAAACCACATAGCATATTCATAAAATCAGATTCTTATTGTTTCTAAAGTGCCATGTCTTTCAACCCTAAATTCTGCTGTTTATTTACAACACATGAAATGAAGCACAGGCCATTTCTTTGAAGAAAAGTTTTCTAACATTGTGAGGGCAACAATAAAATATTCTCCAGAAAAACTACACAAAAAATGCATTAAATGGTGTTTTAATTCCCAAGCATAAATTTTAAATTTAATTTAAAATGTGTATTTAGTTAAACAGTAAGCTAAAGAACCAAACATTCTTTTTTGTAATGCTGGACACAACCTGTGAAAATTTTCTGCATTTAGATTCAACAATGCTCTTATCTGCAGCTCATCTCCAGAGAGACAATTACCATTTCCTTTGCCTTGATCTTGTTTGTTTAACTTGACACAGTGAAGAAAGGGCTGACATTGACCAAAATCCCCAGCATTAATTTATTTCATGTTCAGCATTCATCATTGCCATGGTGCAAGCAAGACCTGGCATTCATTTGAAATACCTGCCCAAGAAGCACTACAGAAAAAAACCTAGCTGCTT